>NC_000018.10:51529909-51830575 GCF_000001405.40 Homo sapiens
TTATGAATGAATCTTTAAAAATATTACTGAGTGAGAAAAAAAGTCATACAGTAGAATAGTACATATAGAATGGTACCATTTTTAAAATGCCTAAAAACAACATACTGAGAAGGAAGCTAGAGAATGAGCTAGGGAAGGAGCACATATAGATACAGTAATTTTGTTAATACTCCAAGTCTTAAGCGGGTGATGGATCCATAGGCATTCATTTTACTATCATGCTTCCTTCTTTATGCATGTGTCACACATGCAATGAATCTGATATATTTTTCCCCAAAGACCTTGTATAGGAAGAATAGTAGTTTTCAAATAAGTGTCCAGTGAAGTTTGAATAAAAGGTATGTCTTTTCATTGGAAAGCTCTTCTAGCAATGGGAATTTCTTCATTCTCCAAGCACCTTTGAAGTGTTCAAAATTAGAGTTGCCTTTCTCAACAATTTTCATTTCTGATTTCAGTGTTCATGGATGCCTTTGAAATTTGCCAATAGTAAGTAACAGAAGAATGACTCTTTGGCAACATTTCCTTTCTCTCCTTTGTTTTTCTTTTTCCTTTTATTAATTTCAACTAAATTATTGATAGTTTGTCAATTTATAAATGTTCCTGATTCCTTGAGCGTGCATTATGTCTAAGACATTTGCCTCCAAAATATTTTTATTTGTCAGTGTGAAAGAGCTTTCTCAAATGATAGCCTGTATTTTTGATATTTTAATTTAACTTTTCATTTTTCTTTTTCTGGAAACCAAGGGATAATTTAACTTTTCAGATAATTCTTCCATGCCTCTGTGTCAGTGCTTGCAATTTCCCCAATAATTACAATAGCTAACATTTCTGTAGCACTACTATACACCAGGTTCTGGTCTAAGTGTTATTGCAATTCTCACAAACCCTAAGATAGTATCCCCACATTACAGATAAGACAACTGAGGCACAGAGAGGTTAAAAAAATCTTACTCAATGTCATAAGAAAGCTGGAATTCAAACCAGGAAGTCTAGTTCCAGATTCCATGCTCCTAACCACCACATCTTTTTTTTTTTTTTTTTTTTTTTTTTTTTTTTTTTTTTTTTTTTTTTTTTGAGACAGGTCTCACCCTGTTACCCAGACTGGAGTGCAGTGGCGTAATCATAGCTCACTGCAACCTCCACATCCCAGGCTCAAGCAATCCTCCTTCCTCAGCCTCCCGAGTAGCTGGGACCACAGGCACATGCTATCATCCCAGGCAAATTTTTATATTTTTGGTAGAGAAAGAGTTTCACTATGTTGCTCAGACTAGTCTTGAACTCCTGAGCTCAAGCGATCCACCCACCTCAGCCTCCCAAAGTGCTAGAAGTACAAGGATAAGCCACCATGCCCAGCAGCTGTTTAATTTTTTTATCAATCAGTTTTCTTTTCTTTTCTTTTTTTTTTTGAGACGGAGTCTCGCTCTGTCGCCCAGGCTGGAGTGCAGTGGCACAATCTTGGCTCACTGCAACCTTTGCCTACTGGGTTCAAGCAATTCTCTGCCTCAGCCTCCCGAGTAGCTGGCACTAGAGGTGCCCACCACCACGCCTGGTTAATTTTTTGTATTTTTTGTAGAGATGAGGTTTCACCGTATTAGCCAGGATGGTCTCGATTTCCTGACCTCGTGATCTGCCTGCCTCAGCCTCCCTATCAATCAGTTTTCTATCTGAAGAAACACATCTACCTATTGCTTACAATAAAAACTTTTCTGTTGCGTATCTTCCAACATGCCATCTGGATGCATCATCTGGATGAGATGCATACCTTTGCCAACATTTTCGCCAGGTATTAGATTTGCTCTACCTGATCCTACAGTCATGCGAGCATAACTAGTCTAGCCTGCTAGACCAGTTTGGGAGTACAGTTACAGTCTGCTTTATTTTTTAAAAAATAACTAATTAAATTAATTTTTTCAGTGCATGTGTAATACACTTACATGATTCAAAAATCTAAAAATATGAAAAGATGATACAGTGTGAAATATCTTCCTCCTGCATCCTTCACCTAGTCTACAGATTCTCTCCCCCATGCAAGCAACCTTATCATTTTCTTAAAGACTACATTAAATATGTATATTAAAATTATTTTGAATATTAAACTTTATTTTGCACTTAACTTCATGTTGGGCACTATGCTAAACACTTTTCATTTAATCTTTCCAGCAATTTAGTGAGGTGAGTTTTACTGTTATCCCTGTTTTTCAGATGAAAAAACTGAGGTATAGGATGATACAACTGGGCCAGGCATGGTGGCTCACATCTGTAATACCAGCACTTTGGGAGGCCAAGGGAGGAGGATCACTTGAACCCAGGTGTTTGAGACCAGCCTGAGAAAAACAGGAAGAACTCATCTCTACAAAAAAATTATCTAGTAAGAAATTAGCCGGGTGTGGTGGTGCACTTGTATGGTCCCAGCTACTTGGGAGGCTGAGGTGGGAGGATTACTTAAGCCTGGGAAGTCGAGGCTGCACTGAACTGTGACTCCAGCCTGGGTCATATTTTGGTTCTGGGGTGTCCAGCTCCAGAGTTCATGCTCTTACCTACTACTGTATACTGTTTCTCCATGCTGAATCTTTTTATGAGAAATATATAAAATAAGTGGATTCTTTAAAGTTTGTATAGCCCCACAGGAAAATGTTATCTCCATTTCCTAGAGAAAATAAGAACGTACTTGTATATTTCTTTTGTAAACATCATTATTGAGATATAATTTATATTCCATAAAAGTTATCCCTTTAAAATGTATAATTTAATGGCTTATAGTATATTCACACAGTTGCAGAGCCATCACTATGATCTAAGTTCGGAATATTTTCATCATGCCCAAAGAAGCCCTGTCAATTCTTCTGTCAACTCCCTAACCTTCCCCTGCCCACCCTAGACAGCCACTCTGTCTCTATAGATTTACTTATTTTGGATTTTTCACATTAATGGAATCATATAATATATAGCCTTTGTACTGAGTTATTTCACTTAGTATAATGTTTTCACAGTTTATATTGTAACATATATCTGTACTTCTTTCCTTTTTGTGGCTGAATAATATTCCACTGTATGAATAGACAGCATTTGGCTAACTATTCATCAGTTGATGGATATTTGTGTTATTTCCACTTTGGGTTATTGTGAATAATACTTTTATGAATGTTTCTGTACAGGTTTTTGTATAAATATGTTTTCATTTTTCTTGGGAGGAGTGGAATTGCTGGATCACATGGTAACTTTATGTTTAAACTTTTAAGAAATTTCCAGACTGTTTTTTATAGTGGCTGCACCATTTGACACTTCCGTTAGCAGTATGTGAGGGTTCCAATTTCTCCACATACTTGCCAACACTTGTTATTACCCATCTTTTTTATTATAGCCATTCTAGTGAGTGTGAAGTGGTATCTTACGTGGTTTTGATTTGCATTGATTAATGAGATTGAGTGTATTCTTACATGTTTATTGGCCATTTGTGTATCTTCTTTGGAGAAATGTCTATTAAAATCCTTTACCCCTTTAAGGCCAGGCATGGTGGCTCACACCTGTAATCCCAGCACTTTGGGAGGCCAAGGTGGGTAGATCACGAGGTCAGGAGATCGAGACCATCCTGGCTAACACGGTGAAACTCCATCTCTACTAAAAATACAAAAAATTAGTTGGGTGTGGTGGCTCACGCCTGTAATCCCAGCACTTTAGGAGGCCAAGGTGGGTGGATCATGAGGTCAGGAGATCGAGACCATCCTGGCTAACACAGTGAAATCCCGTCTCTACTAAAAATACAAAAAATAGCTGGGTGTGGTGGTAGGCGCCTGTAGTCCCAGCTACTCGGGAGGCTGAGGCAAGAGAATGGCGTGAACCTGGGAGGTGGAGCTTGTAGTGGGCAGAGATCGCTCCACTGCACTCCAGCCAGGGTGACAGAGTGAGACTCCATCTCAAAAAAAAAAAAAAAAAATTCCTTTACCCCTTTAAAAACTGAATTGTCTTTTTATTGGTGACTTTACGATAGTTTTTAGAATACACTCTGGATACCAGATTCTTTATTGTAAACAATATTTGCAGATATTTTCTATCATTCTGCAGGTTGTCTTTTCATTTTCTTGGTGGTGTCCTCTGAAGGATAAAAATTCTAAATTCTTATAAAGTCAAATTTGTCCTTTTCAAGAAACTCTTGTTTCTTGTGCTTTTGGTGTTACATCTAAGAAACCACTGTCCTATACAAGACCACAAAGATTTGCACCTATGTATGTGTGATGGTTAATACTGAGTGTCAACTTGATTGGATTGAAGGATACAAACTATTGATCCTGGGTGTGTCTGTGAGGGTGTTGCCAAAAGAGATTAACATTTGAGTCACTGGGCTGGGGAAGGCGGATCTACCTTTAATCTGGTGGGCACAATCTAATCAGCTGCCAGGGAATATAAAGCAGTCAGAAAAACATGAAAATGAGAGACTGGCCTAGGCTCCCAGCCTACATCTTTCTCCAGGGCTGGATGCTTCCTGCCCTCCAACAAGGGACTCCAAGTTCTTCAGTTCTGAGACTCAGACTGGCTCTTGTTGCTCCTCAGCTTGCAGATAGCCTATGGTGGGACCTTGTGATTGTGTAAGTTAATACTTAATAAACTTCCCTTTATATATATATCTCATATATATGTGCACATAAAATGCAAAAAATCAAGAAGTTTGAAAAACAAAATGCAGGTGAGGATGCAGATTGATGGGGAGACTCATGCTTTTTACAGTAGAGTGTTAGTTGATACAACTATTATATATATCATATATATGATATAACTATATCATATATATGATATATATATGTAAAGGGAAGTTTATTAAGTATTTTATATATATATATCTCCTACTAGTTTCGTCTCTCTAGAGAACCCTAATACAGCATTCTTCTATGAGTTTTATATTTTAGCTCTTACATTTAGGACTATGATCAACTTTTATGTGCTGGGATTACAGGCATGAGCCACCGTGCCTGGCCTGGAATTGCTTCTTAATTTCATTAGAAACACAATTATTTTGAATTAAAAATTAGTTCATTTTTGTGTATGGAAGTGGTACACATTTTTTTTTTTGTATATGAATATCCAGTTTTCTCAGAACCATTTGTGGAAAAGACTATTCCTTCTCCATTAAATGGTCTTGGTATCATGGTAGAAAAACAATTGTGCATAAATGTATGGGTTCATTTCTGAATTCTCAATTATACTCTATATGTCTATCATTATGCCAGTAGCACACTACTGTCTTGATTATTTCAGCTGTGTAGTAAGTTTTGTAGTAAATCAGAAAGTGTGAATCCTTCAGCTTCATTTTTCTTCAATATTGTTTTGGCTATACTGGGTCTCTTGCATTTCTATGTGAATTTCAGGATTAGCTTGTCAGTTTCTTCCAAAAGGCAGCTCGGGTTTTGATTAGGATTGCATTGAAACTGTAGATCAGTTTGGGGAATATTGCCATTTTAACAACATGAATTCTTTAAATCGATGAATTTGGGACGATTTTCTATGTTTTTAGATCTTCTTTAATTTCTTTCAACAATGTTTTGTAGTTTTCAAAGCGTATGTTTTGTATTTTTTTTTGTTAACTTTATTCCTAAGTATTTCATTATTTTGGATGCTATTGTAAATGCAATTATTTCTTTTTTTTTTTTTTTTTTTTTTTTTGGCAGAGTTTCACTCTTGTCGCCCAGGCTGGAGTGCAATGGCTCTATCTCGGCTCACTGCAACCTCCACCTCCCAGGTTCAAGCGATTCTCCTGCCTCAGTCTCCTGAGTAGCTGAGATTACAGGTGCCCGCCACCACGCCTGGCTAATTTTTGTACGTTCAGTAGAGATGAGGTTTCACCATATTGCCCAGGGTGCTCTCCAACTCCTGAGCTAAGGTGATCCACCGGCCTCAGCCTCCCAAAGTGCTGGGATTGCAGGCATGAGCCACTGTGCCCGGCCTGGAATTGCTTCTTAATTTCATTAGAAACACAATTACTTTGAATTAATTTTTGAATTTATTGAATTTATATTGAATTAAATGTTCAATTCCTGACATGACCTTTTAACAGGCAGTTAATGTTTTCATTCTATGGACTTTCCTTCATTTCCAATTTTCTAATCAGTTGAAATTCTGGTGTGATAAATGTAGAAACAGGTCAGCCCTGATGGTGCTTTTGCAGGTGCTCTATATCTTATCTGAAGGTTAGCCTTGCAGGTTACAATGGACTCTTATAGACCCTGGAACAATGCTTGTGCTTACCCAGGTTCTGCTTGTAGTGCCACAGGCTTGATTGCTGGAGCCTTTTCATTGTTGTTTGAATTTGCATGTTCAGCCATTGCATTTTCAAAGCAGGAATTATGGTGCCAGGCAATCAAGTTTAGAGGTGCTTCTAGCTCCAGCCTGGACCAGAACTCTTAAGATTCCTGTGCTGGAACTGGACATCAGCTCAGTCCCAGTGGTGAGTTTACTTTTAATATCCTTTAGGTCTCCTTGGCCAGCAGAACTTGGGTCAGCCAATCCTGATCTACTCTGTTTTTCTTAACTTTGAATTTTGGGGAGCAAGTGTTGAGGTCTTTGTTCCTGCCTTCTTAAAAAGCCTAAAGAAAAATCATTAAACTTGGTGTAACTTCTCCTGCCACAAGTTACACACTGCAAGGGCCTGCCTTTGTCAGAACATTAAAAAAAAATCTGTTACAGACATTTCTGGAGCAGTGAGTATCTATTAGATAAGAGAGGCCCTTGAAAATTATATTTTGACTAAGGAAGCCCCTTTCCAAGGTGACTTGCTCTATTCAACTAGACAAAGAAGTGGAGCATGGCTTTGGCACCCCCCATCACACAATGTAAGGTCTTCCATGTGATAAATCATTCCATTTTATTTTTAAAAATACCATTGCATTGGCTCAGTGCTCTTCAGAGTCTCCAGAGATGTTTCCTTGAACTTCAGAGTTGTGCTTGTGTTTGTGAGTGTGACAAGTGGACTTGGAAGTTTGCTCATTCACATTCATTTCTCTTACTGTTAAAACTCTCATGTTTCCTTTTCAAAGAGATGGATTATCTCACCTTTTTTTTAAGTAGTTTTGGTACTCTATGCATTCCATCACATCTTTTTCTTAGACACAATGAAGAGCAGGGCATTTAAAAGTTTACAGAAAACATGCTAAAATAAAATGTAGAGCAGCTTGAAAGAGATTCACTTACTCTAAGTGTACCTGTAGACCATGGTAGCTGAGTTATTGTCATATGATACTCGGTAAGCATATCAGGCTGGCAATCAAAATGCTGAAGCATTGCTTGCAGAAATTAATAGTCCTCAGTATGGGGTTTGGTCTTTACAGTAATGTCAAAGTAGGAAGGATTGTAAGTTCAGCAGCAGGCTTAAAGCCAGGGTCACCTGTATTAGAATTATATGAAGTATATTTGTAATTGAGAAAGGTTTATTGTACTAATTTTACTAAGATTTATCCTTCCAGTTACCTGCAATGTGCATTTCCTTCTATTAATGGCTCTCAGCCAGTCTACTGGAGCAAAAACAAACCAACTGATTGGCATTGTAAGAAATTACTTATTTTTTCTTTAGGAGGAGAGTAGATATTCTGCATGTCTGATTTATGATTATTTATCATGAAAGATTACTGACTATAATAGCCCTAAACAAGCCTCTATTTTCTGGGTAAGACGTAGAAGGAACTAAATAGCAGACATGGCAGAGAGTTCACTAGGAAGCACTTCAACGGATGGACTTCTTCTGCCAGGGCTTCATTTGCATATGGGAGGGCACGGACTAGCAGGATGCAGATCAAGCCCTGTTTTGCCTGCGTCTGAGCTCCTCCTTCCGGCCAGCTGCTGCGCTAGGCACTTAACATACATTGAAAAAGAAAACTAAAAGCCACATTTTTCTTTCTTTTAAAAACTGTATATATTTAAAGCATACAATATGATGTTTTGATATACATATACATAGTGAAGTGATTGCCCTATTTTCCTATTCACAATTTTTCTAGGTCATAATTATGGCTGAACTATTGCTACAAATCTCAATAGATTTAAAGAAAGTAGAAGAGGAAAAGGAAAACTATTAACCCAAGTGACTATGGGAATACAAAGCATCGGGCTAGTTCATTACCTTTTGTCTTAAAGATAAGAGAGGAGGTTAAAGAATATTAACAAACTGATGAACATAAAATGGCAAACAAGAAAGAACATTAGCCAGGGGGAACACATGTCCCTTTAAAATTATACCTATATATATTCTGAATTATTAAATTTAAATTATCACTACTTTATCTGCTATTTTATTGCTGAAATTTCTCACAACTTCATTTGCGAATAAACTCTCCTGTGATGGTCTGCCATTTACATAAGCATATTTATTGGTATCTCCTACGGAGTATAATCTTAACCACAAGGCTATGAATACAGTAAAACTTTACATTTTTGTGAGATACTTTATTTATTCAATTTAAGCTCAAGAAGTAGATGCAATTTATTAGAAAATGTTACAGAAAAGGAATTAATTCACCTCAATTCCAATGCACATACTGGGATGAATAACTCACTGTTATGACATAGTCAACTTTATTCTACCACCTTAATATATAAGGGACAATGGCTGGGCTCAGTGGCTCACGTCTATAATCCCAGCACTTTGGGAGACCGAGGCGGGTGCATCACTTGAGGTCAAGAGTTCAAGACCAGCCTGGCCAACATGGTGAAACCCCATCTCTACTAAAAATACAAAAAGTTTGCTGGGCTTGGTGGCAGGCACCTGTAATCCTGACTACTCTTGAGGCTGTAATCTCAGCTACTGTGAAGCGGGAGAATCGTTTGAACCCGGGAGGCGGAGGTTGCAGTGACCTGAGATTGTGCTACTGCACTCCAGCCTGGGTGACAGAGTGAGACCCTGTCTCTCTCAAAAAAAAAAAAAAAAAAAAAAAAAAAAAAAAAAAAATACACACACACACACACACGCGCGCGCATATATATATATATATATATCTTGATCACCAAGCCCACTGCAAACTGCTGCTGTTCATTTTCTCACTTTCTCTTGCCTGGACTATTGTAGATTTTCTCACTGACTTTTCTACTCCTAACCTTCCTTTTATATTTGTCCAAAGACTAATCTTTCTCACAATCAGAACCCCTCATATTTTCCCCTTTCTTAAAACCCTTCAATGACTTTATCCTTGCTTTTAGAATGAAGCACCAGCTCCTTAGGGTATTGTACAAAGTTCTTCACAGCCTTTAATCTCAGATCTCTCTCCCTTGCCATACACATCTTACTATCCAGACACATCTAAAATACTTGCAGATCTCTGGATGCATTATGATATTTAACATCTTCATGCCTTTCTTCATGTTTCAACTGTTTTTTTGTTTTGTTTTGTTTTGTTTTTGAGACTGAGTCTTGCCCTGTCACCCAGGCTAGAGTGCAGTGGTGCGATCTCTGCTCACCACAGCCTCTGCCTCCTGGGTTCATGTAATTCTCCTGCCTCAGCCTCCCAAGAAACTGGGATGACAGGTGTATGCCACCATGCCAGGCTAATTTTTGTATTTTTAGTAGAGATGGGGTCTCGCCATATTGGCCAGGCTGGTCTCAAACTCCTGGCCTCAAGCGATCTGCCTGCCTCAGCCTCTCAAAGTGCTGGGATTACAGGCATGAGCCACGGCACCCAGCTGACATTTCATCTTCTTTATGGAATTCCTCTGGACTGACCATTGCCTGGACACTTCTCCACTCTGGGGTTTACCACTACCACGACAGGCTACTAAAGTGGGTATCTGTTTTTGTCTGTCTGGCACCCTTCCACTTCCTTTAGGATGCTGATCCACTACAATAATGGAACCTGATAATGCTGCCAGTCATAGCATCTGTTTTATTGATCGCAGGGGTGGGTATATGACCATGGATATAGGTAATCATGGAGCCTTCTCAGACATAATGATTGACCCAGAATTGGGTATGTGGCCTAAGCCAGGCTAATCTACGTCTTCCCTGGGATTGGATGCAAACTAGAGACTTTTCCTTGGATCAATAACTTTATAAATGTCACCCCAGAACCTCTTTTGCCCATTTCTAGACACATGGAGGAGGCTGAAGAATAAAGTTGATGTTGAGAATGAGAAAGAAATGAGAGGTGGGGGAAAAAAAAAAGAAATGAGAGGTGGAGAGAGAGGCCTGGTGTCATTGAATCTCTGAGATCTACTCTTATTAGCCAGTAGATCTTGGTAAAGCTAATTAATTTCCTTAAGTTTCATATTTTTAATCTATAAAATGGGTAAAATAAATGTAATACTAGCTACCTGATAGGGTTCTTATAAAGGTTATGCAAAATAACACATATGAAGTGCTTGGTACACTGCTTAGCATAGAGTAAATGCTCAATAAATGTTAGTAGTGACTGTTGTTATAACTAAGTTGGGAGAGAGTGTCCTCTTTCTTGTTAGTAGTGAAGCAGGGCTTCCCAGTCGGTATTTAGGCCTATTTATCGCTGACTATGGGCTAATTTTGGGACCATTTCTTTTTCCCCAGTATCTTCTTGGCCCATCGATCAGGCTAGTAACCATTTTAACATGACTCACCTTATTCACCTTTACTTCAGTAGCTTTAGACATTTAAATAAATTAAATGTTAGTAAAAATATTTGGAGAACATTTGTATTTAATTGTAATGATGTTAAAGTATTTAAACTACTACAGTGCATGCAGAGATGGATCAGTGAAAATGCTTTGTCCATTACTGGAAATCTAATACATGGCAACGCAAAATAATTTTGATGGTCTCAAGCACTAAATTACTAAGTGGGTATATTATAGTGAAGATATATGTAACAAGGGCATTCTATACCAGTTCAGCCCACTCAGCAAAATTGCTCCAAGAAGTTGCAATATTTGTGTCTTATTAAAAGACTGACTTCATATTTTTATGGGAAATTGATAAACATTCTTTCTTGGTGCCCTCTTAAGATCCATATGAATTGTATAATGTTTTAAAGTGGGTGGTCAGTAACCTCATTTCATTTCTCTCTTCTGTGTCTCTGACCCAGCTCTTAAAAAAATGCAGCATCAGCATCTCTCTTCTCTTTTCCTTTAGCTTGTCTCAGATTTAAGCAAAATTCCCCCCAAAATCCATTTGTGAAGTAGGGCATGGGGATACATTAATGATTTCTGCTATTCATTTTAAATTTTGGCCTGAGATTGACCTGTTTAGCCTGCCTCCAGGAACACCATCATTGGAAAACATTTAAGAGCAGTCTTGATGATGGAAAAGTAATAGAAGACTCCTATACAATATGAGAGAGCCTGGGTCCTGGTCTTGTTTCTACCATTTGCTGTGTGACCTGGGGTAAGTCCCTCTCCTTTCTGGGTGTCATTTTCCTCATCTATAAAATGAGAAGGCTTTAGTAGATGCTATCTAATATCCATAACATGGGTGCAATTTATGGCCTAAAGGTGACTTCAATATTTCAGAGTCAATATGAATCTGAATTGCTCACCCTTTTCTGTGTTTAACTCATCAGAAGGCTTGACTGGGGCTGAAGGATCTACTTTCAATCTCACTCATATGGTTTTTGGCAGGTCTCAGTTTCTTTCTAGCTGTTGGCTGGAGACTTCAGTTCCTTATCACATTGGCCTGTCATAGGAGAGAGAGAGAGGGAGAGAGAGAGAGAGAGAGAGAGAGGTGTGTTAGAGAGAGAGAATGAACATGAGATCTTAAGACTGAAGTCATTGACTTTTTATAACCTAGTATTGGAAGTGACAAAGCATTACTTCAGCTGATTGCTATTGGTCACACTGGCCAATCCTGGTACAATGTGGGAGGCAGGGGTCACTGGGGGCTATTTTGAAGGCTTGATATCACACTGTGAGCCTTTAGATATCTAACTTCTTTCAGCCTCACCTTCCCTTCTACTTAATGGGAACAAAATTACTGTCTAGAGATGCTGACTTCATAGGGTTTTACTGAGGATCTAGTGAAATGATAGATGAAAAAACCCTTTACAACTATAAAATACGTTGGGTGAAAAATTTGATGTCATAGATCTGGAGGGGAGATCTGAAAGTCAAAGAGAGGGAAGAATTACAGTCTTATAAAGGGAGAAACATGGGTTCTCTTAGGTCACAAACCCTTTCCCCCACCACACACTTCTAAGCTCCCCTAGGGCTTGACTAATTGAGACCATATGGAGTTTGGGGTTAGTTTGTTTATTTATTTACTTATTTTTTGCATAATAAGCTTTTTGTTTCCAAGAAAAATAACTGAAAAAATGAGTTTCAATACAAGGTTTGAAAAGTTTGGAGACATTAACTTGTTCTCACCATACAACTTGTTAACTGGTCAATTGTCCATGAATTAAAATAATATGGATTCAATTTTACTGAAGTGATAGCTTGGAAAAACATTTTGGGTTGCACTGAATTTAAGGACATTGAATGGTGCAATCTAAGAAAAATTGCCTTCTGTCCTGAGCTCACATAACCTATTGAGGTCAGCATCAAGGACCATCTACAGGCAAAATGTTCCTGTCTACACACTGGCTGGTCTCATTTCTCATTTGCACATATTGAGCCACCTCTTGACAGCTGTTGCTACACCAATAGGATTTATAATGGAGATGAGAACCCAATGCTGAGAGTGTAATGTCTGAGGTCCTCTGTTGAGCCTGCAACACATCCCTCTGTGTTACAGCAGAAGGACCCCATCCCCTCCCTGCATGAACGGATATATGGCGGAAGGACCCCATCCCCTCCCTGCAGGCACAGATAGACTATAGCTGTATATAGAACAGTGGTGGGGTTGGTCGAATGCCATAAGACACACATGCTTAAGCAGAACAAAGGGGTACACATTGAGTCTGAAACAGGGCAAAGCATTCCCACACAAGGTGATAAGTCCAGTGCAGCCTGTGAGGACTCCTTTTCTCTTTGTAAGGAAGTGTTTTAGGCCCAAGTCCAGTTCTTGCACAGCCCAGAGGAGGTTGAAATGCTGTGCACATAAGACTGCTTTTCCCAACGACTTTATTTCGTCAGACCAGCTTCCTTAAAGCAGGACACATATGCATGGGAAACCCTGGGCTCCGATCCTTACCGCAGAAAATGGGGACTCTGTCCCAGGTTCATTTGAAAAGCACAGAAGGACGGTGATTGATATTGCTTGTTATAAACATCCACCCGTGGTCCTTGTGCTTTAAAGAAGGCAGTCTCATACTGGTGGCTTGACTCTCATCTCTTTTTTTTTTTTTCGAGACAGGGGCTAGCTCTGTCACCCAGACCACAGCGCAGTGGAATGATCATAGTTCACTGCAGCCTCAGCCTACTGGGCTCAAACGATCCTCCTGCATCAGCATCCTCAGTAGCTTGGACTACAGGTGCATGCCACCACACCCAGCTAATTTTTAAATTTTTAGTAGAGACGAGGTCTTGCTATGTTGCCCAGGCTGGTCCTGAAATCCTGGACCCAAGTGATTCTCCTGCCTCAGTCTCTCACAGTGCTGAGATTACGGGAATGAGCCACCATGGCTGGTGACCCTAGTCTCTTGTAGAAGTGACTCATCCTATTCCTATGAGAGAGTAGAGGAAGATAATTATGAATGAAGTGTTACATCAAAAGTGGATCATAGAGGTCCCTGAATATCAGGTAAAAATGTTAGATTTTTTCAGGAGACACAGAACCATGTGAGATATTTGAAAAGGGAAGTGACATGATCAGAGCTGAGTTTAGGAAGATTAGTTTGATAAGACTGAACAGAAAGTAGAAGGGATGGGTAATGGTGAAGTAGGTAATTTTGCTAAAATATCCACTCTGTTCAAACAACTAAAATAGCTGGAAAATCTAAAAATCATTTTATGTGTCAGAGAATGAAAAAGGTAGTCAGGAACTATGGGCTAAGATCTCGGTGGAGATGAGAAACTAGAGAGATGAGATCATCATCCAAGACTACTTTGTTCTTGAGCATTTACTGAACTTGAAAAGATATATTCTGTCAGTTGTTTTTCCTCTTGGCTCTCAGCTCCATTTCATCTCTTTGCTTTGTATCTCAGGGCAACAAGCCTGAAAACTACTTTTCCCAGACTTTCTTGCCAGCTGAGATCTAGTTAGGTTCTGGCAATGGGAAACACTAGAGGAAGACTGAAAATGGAAGAAAGGGATGAGAATATAACAGTGAACCCAGACTGAGAAAGTAACAATCTGTCCTGCCATTCAACAGGCTAGGGCAACAGCCACAGATAAAGCCTTGATAGGTCCTGGATTCTTAATGTTTTTCTCTCTAGTTCCAGAAAGCTGCCAAAGTGTAAAGTTAATGGGAAACAATATTTCTCTAAGGCCATGCTGCAGTTGTATAGTGTCATAATATCTTCTTTAAATCACCACTGCTTTCCTACTCATTGGAAAATACCTTTTCCAAAAATCATTTGTGGTTTGAAATTATATCTATAAGAATAAAACACATCTCAGTTTTGCCTGAAGGATCTGAGCCTCTTTGATATAGAGAAGCAAACTTGATATCCAATCTGTATGCTGAGTTTCAGATAAGTGATTTCTAGACACAACATACCACATGTATCTTAACTTTTTAGTTTCGAAGGAAACAGGACTCTGATCCACTTTGCAGTCCAGATATGATATTGACCCTTTACACACAGCCTTGTTTTGCTTTGAGCCTATTCAAACACTGCTTCACTTTAATTTCATCTAAACTGTACACTTCTCCCAAATCCTGTAATAACGCTGTCTTTCCTGGTGTTTGGTGAGATGCTCCATGGTTCCTCTGGTGTTTCCCTCGTTGCAACAGACGAATAAATCTGTCTTTTTCGAACTATAGCGTTGCCCCCGTGGTCTTAAGTTGATTGGACGAGGAGAGAAAAAAGCCATTTTTCCACTTCTGACAGTGACTTATTGTAGGCTCCAACAACTTTGGTGTTGGTTTCTGCAGCATTGATGGGGTTAACTCCTGAGCTTCTTAGAAGCGGTAGGTCATTTTCAGTAGCAGTGCCAGGAGCAGTGGCAATCGTGTGGGCTGGTGGACTACAACCCAGGGGTTAAGGTGACTTCTTGATCTCTGGGTGATATTTCCTTTCCCTTTCACTTCTCCAGTTCTTGCAACATTTTTACTACCAATTCTCTGATTATAAACAACTAAATCCTTCTCTGCTAGAAATATAGGGTGGTTTCATTTTTCTCAATGGTCACTAGCTGATACAGTATCTAAGGTTCTGAGCTGCACTTTGGCAGCTTTCTGAGACTAGAGTGAAAAACAATAAGAATTCAGAACCTGGCCGGGCGCGGTGGCTCAGGCCTGTAATTCCAGCACTTTGGGAGGCCGAGGCGGGCGGATCACGAGGTCAAGAGATTGAGACCATCCTGGCCAACATGGTGAAACCCCGTCTCTACTAAAAATACAAAAATTATCTGGGCGTGATGGTAGCCGCCTGTAGTCCCACCTACTTGGGAGGCTGAGGCAGGAGAATGGCGTGAACCCGGGAGGCGGAGCTTGCAGTGAGCCGAGATCACACCACTATACTCCAGCCTGGCGACAGAGCGAGACTCCGTCTCAAAAAATGAAAAAAAGAAAAAGAAAAAAAAAAAAAAAAGAATTCAGAACCCATCAAGGATTTCACCCTGGTAAGTAGGAGTTAATCAGGAATAAAACAGCTCCCACAACTGAGCTTCCAGTCCTCCGGGTAGATCACAAAACCCCAAGCCTTGAAATTGGATTAAGATGGTCCTGGTCGACTTAAGCCCTCTAGGCTTCTTAAATTAATCAGTTTTGGAAAATTCTCTATCTTCTCAAATATTGCTTTTGCTTCTCTTTTGGGAATAACAATTAATTGCGCGCTGCATATTCTCATTGCATGTTCTATGTCTTTTACCTACTTCTCTGTATTTTCCATCTTTTTGTCTGCTGTCCATACTTCATCTTGATAGATTCTTTTAACCTAATTTTTAGTTTAATAATTCTGCTGTATCTAATTTGGGATTAAAGCCATCCATTGAATTCTTAACTTTTGTTATTGCCTTTTTCCCCAATTCTAGAACTTCCAGGTTTTTTTTCAAGTTTGTTACCACTTTTTATAGTTGCTAGTTTCTTTGCTTTTGAATTTTTAAAAATTTGGCTTTATCGCGTTTTAAATTTCTATACTTTTAATAATATGCTTAAAATACATAAATCAAAAATTGATAGAACTACAAAGAGAAATAGACAAGTCTGCAATTATAGTGGGATATGATGAAATACCTCTGTCAGTAATTGATAGAAGCAGCAGACAAAAATTATTAATAATGTGGAAAATTTGAACAGCATGACTAACAAAACTACTTAATGTCCATATATAGAGGTCTGCAGTCAACAACCATAGAATGCATATTATTTTTCAAGCTCACACGGAGTATGAAGATGTTGGTTCTTCCAAATGCATATGAAGATTCAGTGCAATCCCAGTCAAACTACCAGGCAGATCCTTTTGTAGTTCGTAAGTGATGACTGGGTTTTCACCCTCATGCATGAGATGTGCCTCCCTCGAACCCTGTTATGATGTAGGCACGTTAACCATCTGACATGAAAACAAAACAAAATACCAGTCAGGTATTTTCCAGAACCTGACAAACTTATTCTAAAATTAACCTAAAAATACTAATATTAAAAGACTGAGAATAGTTAAGACACGCTTGAAGAAAAATGGATACTAAAATTAAAGACAGAATAATTAAGACACCTTTGAAGGAAAAAAAAAGCTTGAGAAAAATTGGCCTACTCACTATCAAGACTTGTAAATTTATAATGATTAAGATAGTGTGATATTGGCATGAAGACTGAAAAATAGACCAATGGAACAGGGGACATAAGCCAAGTACTTATTTATATGTGTATATTAGTATATAAGTATATATAAATATTGGGAAAAGGCTATCTTTTCAATAAATAACGCCAGGACAATTTGATATCCATAAAGGAAAAAATGAAATAGGATCCTTTTCTCACACTATATATAAAAGATAATTCTAGGCAGTCAGTAGACCTAAGTGTGAATGGCAAAGTGGAAAAGCTTTTCGAAGGTAATACAGGTGAATGCCTTCAAGACTTCAGAGTGTGGAAAAACAAGACTCAGAAAGCTCTAACTATAAAATAAAGGATTGATGTATTTGTTTTTAAGACAATATTAACTACTTTTATTTATATATTTTAGTAATTATTGATTTTCATTAATATTATTTTAATTGATAAATCACAATATACATTTATGGGGTACAATGTGATGTTTTGATACATGTATACAAAAAGGAATTACTAAATCAATCTAATTAGCATATCTAGCACCTCTGTTTTTGTGGTGAGACATTTGGAATTTACTGTCTTAGGTTTTTTGAAATGTATAATACATTATTATGTAATGTGCAATAGACCTCAAAAACTTATTCTTCCTGTTGAACTGAAACTTTGTACTCTTTGACCAATATCTCCCTATTCCCTCCCTACTTCCCTGCACCCCCCAGCCTCCAGTAACCATCATTCTATTTTCCACTTCTGTGAGTTTGGCTTTTTTAGATCCCACGTAAGTGAGATTGTACAGTGTCTGTCTTTCTGTGCCTACCTTAATTCACTTAACCTAATGTCTTCCAGGTTCATCCACATTGTTGAAAATGACAGGATTTACTTCTTTATAGGGTTGAGTAGCAATCCATTAGGTTATATACCACATTTCTTTATCCATTTATCTGTTGACAGATGCCTAGGTTGATTGCATATCTTGACTATTGTAAATAATGCTGCAATGAACATGGGAGTACAGGTAGCCCTTAGACATTGATTTAAGTTCCTTTGGATATATACCCAGCAGTGGGATGGCTGGATCATTTGGTTGTTCTATTTTAAGTTTTTTGAGGAACTTCCATACCATTTTACAGAATGGCTATAATAATTTATATCCAGCAATAGGGTACAAGGGTTTCCTTTTCTTCACATCCTTGCCAATGTTAATCTTTCCTCAGTTTGGTAAATAGCCATTCTCACAGGTGTGAGGTGATATCTCATTATGGTCTTAATTTGCATTTCTCTGATGATTAGTGATGTTGAGCATTTTCTTCATGAACCTGTTGGCCATTTGTATGTCTTCTTTTGAGAACTATATATTCAGATCCTTTGCCCATTTTTAAAATTGGGTAATTAGTTTTTTTGCTCTGGAGTTGTTTAGGTTCTTTATGTATTTTGGCTATTAACCTCTTGCCAGGTACATGATTTGCAAATATTTTCTCTCATTCTGTGGATTGTCTCTTCCTTCTGTTAATCGTTTCATTTGCTATGCAGCAGCTTTTTAGTTTGATACTATCCATTTGTCTATTTTATATATATATAAATTTTGTTGCCTGTGTTTTCGGATATCTATATCCATATCTATCTATCTATCTATCTATCTATCTATCTATCTATCTATCTATCTATCTATATCAATTACTGCCCAGGCCAATGTTGTGGAGCATGTTTTCTTCTAGTAGTTTTATAGTCTCAAGTCTTATATTTAAATCTTTAGTCTATTTTGAGTTGATTTGTTCACATCGTATGAGAAAAAGATCTAATTTCACTCTTCTGTATATGGATATCCAGTTCTCCCAACACCATTTATTGAAGAGACTATCTTTTTCCCATTGTATATTCTTGAAACCTATGTCAAAAATCAATTGGCCATAGATGTATGGGTTTATTTCTGGGCTCTCTAAAGGATTAATATATTGGACTACATTAAAATTAAGATCTTTTGCTCACCAAAATACAAATAATGAGAGGCAAACAGCAAACCACGAGATGGGAAAATATGTTTGTAACATATTTTTATTTGTCATGTAACGAATAAAAGGTTTATATCTAGAGTATATTTTAAAACTTCTTCAAATTAATAGTAAAAATACATGTTATCTAATAGAGAAATGGGAAGTGACTTAAATAAGCATATTACAAATAGGATATCTAAATGACCAAGTAATGTATGAAAAGACATATATGCTTATTATTACTCAGGGAAATGAAAATTGGAACTTTGATAAGGTAACACTGTGTACTTATCAGATTGGCTAGAATGAAAAAGTTCAACAATTACAAGTGCTGGAAAGGGTGCTCAAAGACAGAAACTGCCATTTATTGCTGACAAGAGTAAATTGGTATGCTGCTTTTAGAAAACAGTCTTTGCAGTGAGTAGAAGATACCCATACCTATTGACTATACCTATACTCCTTGACATGTGCCCTATAGAAAGTTATGCTTAGGTGTATCAGGATTCATATTCACAAATGTCCATAGCAGCATTGCTCATAATTGTCTATTTCTGGAGTCTCCAAGCTCCATTAATTACATGCCTATCTTTATGCCAATATCACCCTGTTTAATTACAGTAGCTTTATAGTCAGCATGAAATTAAATCCCCCAATTTTATTCTTCTTTTCCAAAATTGTTTTGCCTATTATCAGTCCTTTGACTTTTCATGTAAATTTTATTATATTTTTAATTTTTTTAATTTTTTGTTTTTTTTTTTTTATGACAGAACCTCGCTCTGTCGCCCAGGGTGGAATGCAGTGGTGCCATCTCAGCTCATTGCAGTCTCCGCCTCCCAGATTCAAGCAATTCTTTTGCCTCAGCCTCCAGAGTAGCTGGGATTACAGGTGCCCACCACCACATCCAGCTAATTTTTGTATTTTTAGTAGAGATGAGGTTTCACCATTTTGGACCAGGCTGGTCTTGAACTCCTGACCTCAGGTGATCTGCCCCCCCTTGTCCTCCGAAAGTGCTGGGATTACAGGTGTGAGCCACTGCGCCTGGCCCCTCATGTAAATTTTAAAATCAGCTTGTCAATTTTTTTAAAGTTGTCTACTAAGATTCTGATCGGGACTGCATTGACTGTATAGATCAGTTTGGGGGAGAACTGCCATCTTAACACTATTGATCAATCTATGAGCACAGTGTATTTTTCTTCAGTTTCCTTTTGTGTTGATTTATAGTTTTCAGTGTAGAGGTCTTCTACATTTCTTATTAAATTTATTCTTAAGTATATTATTAAAAATTTTTATTTTCTAATTTCTTATTATTAGAATATAGAAATGTAATGGATATTTGTAAATTGACTGTGTTCTATGACTTTCTTAAATTCAATTGTTAGTTCTTTTTTTGTTTATTCCTCAGAATTTTTTATATACATGATCATATCATATCAGTAAAGAAAGTTTTCATTATTCTTTTCCCTTTATTATGGTTTTATTTATTTCTTTGAGCCCATTAGTTAGATACCTCAGTATAATGTTGAAGAAAAGTGAGGGTGGATGACTGTCCTTCATTCCTGATCTTGGGCTGAAAGCACTGAACCTTTCACCATTGACCTTCACTGAATATGAAGTTGGCTATATAGGTTTTTCACAGATGCCCTTAATTAGATTGAGTTTGTTCCTTCCATTCCAAACTATGAATTTTTGTAATGAAAGGGTATTGAATTTTATAAAATGCTTTTAAATTTTTTAGTATCAATTAAAATGATGATATGCCTTTTCTTCTTTTTCATGTTAATATGGAGAATTACATTGGCTGAGTTTTGAATATTAAACTAAGTCTGCATTCCTGGCATAAACATTACTTAATCATGAATACATTAGGCTTTATATATATTGCTGTATTTCATTCACCAACATTTTGTTAGAATTTTTGTGTCCATGTTTATGAGAAATATTGAATTATAGTTCTTTTTTTTTCTTGTGTTATCTTTGTCTAGTTTTGTATTAGGATAATACTGACCTTATACAATGAGCTGGGAAGTATTTCCTCTTTCTCTGTTTTCTGAAGGACTTTGTGTAGATTTGGGTGTTATTTATTAAATATTTGATAGAAATATTATTAGAGCAATCTTGCCCTAGAGTTTTCTCTGTGAGAAAGTTTTAAATTATGAATTCAATTTTCTTTTTTTGATATAGGGAAATTTAATTTATTGATTTCATCTTGGATCGATTTTCTTAATTCACGTTATTAAAAGAATTTGCCCATTTCATCTACATTGTCAGATCTGTTAGCTTAAACTTGTATAACATATTCCCTTATTATCCTTCTAATATCCATAGTATCTCTAGTCTTATGCCCCTTTTTTCATTCCTTATTCTGATAATTTGTACCTCTATTTTTTGTTTTGCTCAATCTATTGAGGCTTGCCAGTTTGTTGGTCTTTTCAAAGAATCAGATTTTCTTTTCACTTTTCTTTTTTATTGCATGTTCATTTTTTATTTTATTGTTTTCTGCTCTTTGTTATATTTTCTTCTCTCTCCTTACTTTGAGTTTAATTTGCTCTTGTTTTTTCATTTTATAAGGTGAGATCTCAGATCACTGACTCTAGATCTTTCTTATTTTTAACATAGGCATTTAAACACAGTTATTAATTTCCCTTTAGGCATTGATTTAGTTGCAGTCCACAAATTTGATATCAATGATAATTTCATTGTTACTCAGTTCAAAATATTTTCTAATTTCTTTCATGATATCTTCTTTGACCAGAAGATTATTTAGAAGTACGCCATCTAATTATTTGGGTTTTCTCAATTATCTTATTGCTATGGATTTCTAATTTAATTTCTTTGTGATCAGAGCACATACATTGTATTATTTCAATCTTACATTGCTATAAACTTCCCCGTTGGTACTGATTTTGTTGTATTCCGTGTATTTTCATATGTTCCATTTCCATTTCCATTTGTTTCAAGACATTTTAGAATTTTCTTCTTAATTTCTTCATTGACCCATTGATTATTCAGGAGCATATTGTTTAATTTCCATGTGTTTTTGTAATTTTCAAAGTTCCTGTTATTGATTTCTAGTTTTATTTCACTGTGCCCAAAAAAGATGCTCGATATGATTTTGATCTTTCTGAATTTGTTGAGACTTGTTTTGTGTCCTATAGTGGAGAATGTCCACGGGCTGATGAGAAGAATGTGTGTTCTGCAGCAGATGAGTGAAAGGTTGTAAATATCACTTAGGTCTATCTAGTCTAATGTATAGTTTAACTTCAATGTGTTTGTTGATTTTCTGTCTGGATGATCTGTCAATTACTGAGAGTAGGGTGGTGAGGTCCCCTACTATTATTGTATTGCGGTCTATTTTCCCTTTAGATCCATTGATGTTTGCTTTACATATTTGGGTGCTCCAGTGTTGTGTGCATATATATTTACATTTGTTATATCCTCTCACTGAACTGACCCCTTTATCATTATATAGTGACCATTTTGTCTCTTTTTATGATCTTTAACTTGTAGTCTACAATTGACCCTTGAACAACATGGGTTTGAACTGTGTGGGTTTACTTGTATGCAGATTTTTTTCAGTAAATATATTGGAAATTTTTTTGGAGATTTGTGACAATTTGATAAAACTCACAGACGAAGCACATAGCCTAGAAATATTGAAAAAAATTTTAAAAAGTTAGATACATCTTGAGTGCATAAAATATATGTAGATGCTAGTCTATGTGTTAATTGACTGTTTATGTAATTGATAAGGCTTTTGGTTAACAGTAGGCTATTAGTAGTTAAGTTTCTTGGGAGCCAAAAGCTATACACAAATTTTCAACTGTGCAGGGGGTTGGCACCCTTAACCTTTGAATTATTCATGGATCAACTGTGTTTTATCTAATATAAAAGTATAGCTACTCCTGCTTTTTAATTGGTTTCTGCTTGCATGGAATATCTTTTTCCATTTCTTCACTTTCAGTCTGTTGTGTCTTTACAGGTAGTGATTTTCTTATGGGAAGCATATAGTTGGGTCCTGTTTTTTTTTTTTTTTTTAATCCACCCAGTTACTCTATGTTTTATTGTTTTAACTGAAGAATTTAGGCTACTCTTACATTCAATGTTAATATTGATAGGCAAGGAGTTATTGATAAGTAACTTATTTTGCTACCTGTTTTCTGGTTGTTTTGTAACTCCTCTTTTTTTCTTCCTTTCTTACCATCTTCCTTTGTGGGTAAGTGATTATTTTCTGGTAGTATGTTTTAATTCATTGCTTTTATTTTTAGTGTATCTACTACAGGTTTTGCTTTGTGGTTACCATGATGCTTACAAAAACCATAGATAGAACAAGTTATTTTAAACAGATGATGACTTGTCTCAGGTCACAAAGAAAATAAACCAACATAGGAAAATCTAAAAATAACCTCTACACTTTAACTTCATCCCCTCACATTTTGACTTTTTGTTATCTCAATTTATATCTTTACATATTAACAAGTTGCTTAGTTATTATTTTTTGTAGTTTTGCCATTTAGTCTTCATACTAGAGCTGTGAGTGTCCTACATACCACAATTACAACATTAGAATATTCTGAGTTTGTGTATTTAGTTTTACCAGTGGGTTTTACGCTTTCAGTTTTTTTTTGTTGTTGTATGTTATTGTCCTTTTCTTTCAGATTGAAGAATTCCCTTTAGAATTTCTTATAAGACAGGTCTGATGGTGATGAAGTTTCTCAGCTATTGTTTGTCTGAGAAAGACTTTTAACTTTCTTTTGTGTTTAAAGAATAGTTTTGCTGGGGTATGGAATTCTCAGCTGGCAGTTTTGTTTTTTCTTTCAGCACTTTGAATATGTCATCCCATTTTTGTTTTGTTTGTTTGTTTCTTTGTTTGTTTTGAGACAGAGTCTCACTCTGTCGCCCAGGCTGGAGTGCAGTGGCGCGATCTCGGCTCACTGCAAGCTCTGCCTCCCAGGTTCGCGCCATTCTCCTGCCTCAGCCTCCCGAGTAGCTGGGACTACAGGCGCCCGCCACTGCGCCCGGCTAATTTTTTGTATTTTTAGTAAAGATGGGGTTTCACCATGTTAGCGAGGATAGTCTCGATCTCCTGACCTTGTGATCCGCCCGCCTCGGCCTCCCAAAGTACTGGGATTACTGGCATGAGCCACCGCACCCCGCCGTCATTCCATTCGTTACTGAACCTGTATGGTTTCTGATGAGATGTCTGTAGCCAGATGGATTGGAGCTCCTTTATATGTTATTTGCTTCTTTTCTCATTCTGTTTTTATGTTCCTTTCTTTGTCCTTGAGATCTGAGAGTCTGACTGTTGTATGCCTTGAGGTAGTCTTATTTGGATTGAATCTGTTTGGTGATCTCTGACCTTCCTGTACCTGGATATTTATATTTTTCTCTATGTTTGAAAAGTTTTCTGTTTTGTTTTCTCTGAATAAGCGTTCTACTCCTTACTCTTTCTCAACTCCTTCTTTAACACCAGTGACTCTTAGATTTGCTCTTTTGGAGTTATTTTCTATATCCCGTAGGTGTAGTTTGTTCCTTTTCATTTTCTTTTTTCTTCTCTTACAATGTGTTTTCAAATAACCTGTCTTTAGGCTCACTGATTCTTTCTTCTGCTTGATCCATTCTGCTGTTAATAGCCTTTAATGCATTTTTTTATTTTAGCAAATGTATTTCTCAGTTCCAAGATGCGTTTGATTTTGTAAAAATTATTTCAATCTCTTTGTTAAATTTCTGTGACAAATTTCTGAATTTATTTTCTGTGTTATGTTGAAGTTCACTGAGTTTCCTTAAAACTGATAATTTGGAATTCTTGATCTGAGAGTTCACACATCGCCATCTTGCTGGGTTGATCACTGGCTCCTTTCGTTGTCTGTTTAGGGAGACCATGGTTCCCTGTTTGCTGTTGTTTCTTGTGGACATACATCTATGTCTTTGCACTGAAGGATTAGTTAATTATTTCAGTCTTTGCTGTGTGGCTTGTTTTGGTCTTCTTAGAGTGTGTTTGCTTAGAGGTTCTTTGCGGTTCGCGTGTTGAGCCCCTTTTACCCTACCTCACTGCCTCCTTTTTGGCAGTAGATGGCACCTCCTCAAGCCTAGGTTTGCCTTGATTCTCACAAACATTCAGACTGCTGCCCATCCCGATTGGGCAGGGGCTACCCAGGCTGTGTGGAAAGACTAGGTAGGGTTTCATGTCCAAGGGACCTGTGGACCTTACCACCTATGGTGTGATGCTGCTGAAAAGCTGCACTGATTTGGCATCTCCTTTGGCTGAGATAAACAGGACAATTTCAAAGGCCAGCGTTGCTAGTCCCATCTTCTCTGTTTTTCTCAAGCTGCCCTCAGGGTTTTTCCTCCTTTCAGCCACTCAGAATTTTTTCTGTGGTTTAGGCAGGAAAGGTTTTCCAGTGAAGAAATTCGACATGGTGGAAAAGCTAGCTGTCTGCCTGGATCTCACTTTTTCTAATGTAGAAAGTTTGATTCTGTGGGGACTTTTCTGTGCAGTGAGCGGCAGCTTGGGGAAAGGACATCACAGATGTAGAGTTCATTTCTTGTACCATCTACTCAGAGTTTTTCACCTCTCTATGGCCCTGGGGATCATTTTGGCCTCAGATTTGAGTTCTGAGATACTGCTGCTGATAATCTTGGCTCTAGATATTTGTTTTCAGTTTTCCATGGGGGAGAGTGAAGCCAGATTGCTTCTACTCTGCCATTTTGGTGAAGTCACTCTTCTCAGTCTTTTACATTTATCGAGATTTGTTTTATGGTTAAGGATATTTTTGTGTACTTGTGAAGAATATGTATTATGCCTATTTTTGTGAATGTGTTACGTGCACGTATAAAATATGTATTATGCCTCTGTTGGGTTGAGTGTTCTATAAACATCAATAGAGTCAAGATAGTTGATAGTGTTATTCAGATATCCTGTGTCTTTGTTGATATTTTGTATGATTGTTTTAGCAATTGTTGAGAGAATGGTGTTAAACTTTGCAGCTGTGATTGTAAAAATGTCTACTTCTCTTTTAAATCTGCTAATTTTTTCTTTATATATTGTGAAACTATTAAGTACAAACATAGTTATGATTAAGTCTTCTTAATGAATTGCCACTTTTAACATGAAGAATTATCACTTTTGTGTCTGCTAATATTTTTCTTCTTAAAATTCATTTTATTTGATATTAATATAGTTACTCCATCTTTTTGTACTTACTATTTACATGATTTATCATTTCTTTCCATTTACTTTTAGCCTATCTGTGTCTTCATATTTAAAGTTAGTCTTGTGTATATAGAATATAGTGGGCTCGTATTTTTTAATCTATTCTGACAATTTTTCCCTTTTGAGTGTTTAGCCTATTATTAGTAATTACATTAAATATTGATATAGTTTTATTTGAATCTATTTAATTATTATTTTACTTGCCTCTTTAATCTTTCTGTCTTGACTTTTTCGTTATTAGAAGATATTTTAGAATTCTATTTTAATTTTTTCATGATTTTTACATGTACTCTTTTGCAATAAAAGCATAATTGCTGTAGGATTACAATATATAATCTTATCTTTCTACAGTCCCTTTTCAGCTACAATTGTACCAGTTCACATACAGTATAAAAACTTTGCAACCACGTTGCTGCAGTTCTAGAATTCAGTTCTAAAATTTTTATATGTTTGTTTTGCTGTATTTACATTTTTCTTCTGAGATTCCTATCCTTGCAATTGTTGCAAGCATATTTTATTTTACTCCACTGAGCATGATTACAATAGCTGCTTTAAAATCTTCACTGCTAACTCCAACATCTTAGGATCAGGATAAAATCTCACTTGATTTTTCTTTTCTTTAGAGAATGTGTTCTGTTTTTTTATTTTTTTACTTACAGTGGCATGATCTCGGCTCACTGCAACCTCCGCCTCCCGGGTTCAAGCGATTTTTCTGCCTCAGCCTCCCAAGTAGCTGGGATTAGAGGTAGGTGCATGCCACCATGCCCAGCTAATTTTTGTATTTTTAGTAGAGACAAGGTTTCATCATGTTGGCCAGGCTGGTCTTGAACTCCTGACCTCGTGATCTGCCCACCTCGGCCTCCCAAAATGCTGGGATTACAGTCATGAGCCATTGCGCCCGGCCGTCTTCTGATTTTTAAAGCCCTTACATGTTGGCTAATTTTAGATTATAAGTTTAATATTGTGAATGCAATCTTGTACAGATTCTGGATCCTGTCACTTTTCTTGAATGAGAGTTCTTTTATTTTAGCAAGCAACTCTCTTGGCTGGTCCTGTGTTACAAACTCTGTTTCTCATGCAGTGTAGACTCAATTTAAGATCTTTGTCTTTAGCAGAGCTGCTTTGAGGGGATTTTTTTTTTTCCCCAAATGTATGATTCAGGAGTCAGTCAGCAATGTGTATAGATGGAATTTGGAGACCACATTTCTGGCCCTTTCTCTGTTGGGACTGCTCCCCACCCTCACTCTTTCACAGTCATAATTCTCCAGACTCAATTTTTAGGTTCTCCCGGCCCAAAAGACTATGGTTTTGTGTGTGTTTGTGTTTGTTTTTGTTGTTGTTTTTTGTTGGCATCCTCCCCACCTGGCACACAATGCACTTACTGCAATTAGCAGAAGGTTAAAGGTCATGGGAACAGAAGCCTGTTTCCTGCAGCTCTTCTCCTCCTCCTCTCTGGAAGTTGTTCTTGCTTCTGTCCTCCTCCACCTTCCTGGCCTGCTGCTTCTGGACCACTAAGCACTCTATGTCTTTACTACACCTTGACATTAGGGCCTTTATGTATGTTTGATGGGATAGCAGTTATGCCGAAGTTTTTGGCAGAAGGATAGACACATTAGTTATAGCTTGGTAGAAGGAATAGGCAGAGATGTTCAGAGTGTGAGTTCAGAGTCACCTTCATGGTAGTTCCAGAGTTTCTGGAGAGCAACATAAAGTTACCTCTTTCTTTTTATCCCTCTCTTTTTCTTGTGTTTTAAATTATCCCATTTCTATTGAATTCTATAAATAGACTCGTGTCTCTATGGTTTTGGTAAACCTCTTTCTACTCAGTAACCTATCTATTAACACATTCTTTCTTTTCTTCACTTGAAAATATTGCTTCTTTCATGACCTCCAGATTTTAATCTTCTGTTTTATCTTTAAACTTCTGAAATCAGGCTTTCACGATCACCATTTCAAACTGCTTTTGCTCCAGACTGCCAGAGACTACCTAAAAGCCAAACCCAACAGATACCATTAATTCTTGTCTTATGCAATTTCCCTGCTACACTTTCCAAGGTGGTTTCTTTTCTTTAAGTCTCATTTTCTGACTTTATGACACTAATTCTCAAGTATCCATTGTGAATAACTTTTTCTTCACTTTTCCATTCAATCTGAATATTCCAAATGATTTAATTCTCATGACTTTTCCTTTTTTTTTTTTTTAAATCCCACATATTCTCCCTGGACAATCTCATGTATACCCATGGCTCAATTGCCACCCTATTGGGGGCTTTCATAACTAGTTTTCTAGCTATCGTGGACTGGTCCTTGCCTGCCTGTCATTCTTCACTTTCTACCACACTTTTATATACACCTGCTCTCTCAGCATCTTCAGCTACTGGAGCTACCCTGAACGATCTTGCAATTTCCACTGCCTGTGCCGCTCTTTTACAGGAGTCTGCAACCCCTGGGCCATGGACCAGTACTGGTCTGTGGCCTCTTAGGAACCAGGCCGCACAGCAGTAGGTGGGTGGCAGGTGAGTGAGCATTACTGCCTGAGCTCTGCCTCCTGTCAGATCACTGGTGGCATTAGATTCTCACAGGAGCATGAACCCTATTGTAAACTGCACATGTGAGGGGTCTAGGTTGTGTGCTCCTTATGAGAATGTAATGTCTGATAATTTGTGACTGTCTCCTGTCACCCCGCAGATGGGAACATCTAGTTGCAGGAAAATAAACTCAGGGCTCCCACTGATTCTGCATTATGGTGAGGTGTATATTATTTCATTATCTATTACAACATAATCATAATGGAAATAAAGTGCACAATAAATGTAATGCGCTTGAATCGTCCTGAAACCATCCCACCCTCAAATCTGTGGAAAAATTGTCTTCTGTGAAACTCATTCCTGGTGTCAAAAAGGTTGGGGATTGCTACTCTTTTACATTTAATAGTGCATCTGGATTAAGGGTCTTCCCTTAATCTAAGGATTATCCCCTGTTTTACTCCGTTTAGTGTTGTTACAACAGAATGCCTGAGGCTGGGCAATTTATAAAGAGAAATTTGTTTAGTTCATGATTTTGGTGGCTGCAAGGTTCATGATTGAGCAGCTACTTCTGGTGAGGGCCTCAGGCTGCTTCCATTCATGGTGGAAAGCGGGAAAGCAGGCAAGTGCAAAGAGATCACACGGCACAAGAGGAAGCAAGCGAGAAAAGCGGAGGAAGCCAGCCTCTTTTTAACAGTTCATTCGTGTGGGACCTCATCCATTCCTGTGAGAGAGACAGAACTCACTCACCCCCATGAGAGGGTATTCATCTATTCCTGAGGAATTTGTCCCCATGACCCAAACTCCTCTCTAGGACCAACCTCCAAACACTCATTTAACTTGCATAACAAACCCATAAGTGAAATATTGCTATTATTTCTGAATTATAACAAGAAAATAAAAGCTCAGTCTTCTTAATGGCTAGCCCAGGTTCACAAGGCAGTGGGGAATGGGCCAAGACTCAAATCTATGCTTCAGATGTCAAGGTCCACTTTACTTCCACTAGGTAGCTTGCATCACTTTACAGTGCTGCTAATGGCTCATCATGGGGAGCCAGATAAAAGCATTTAAAGAGGAAACAATGCAGGCTCCAGGTGACTTATACTTTTTATGGAGGGAAGACTGCCACACCAAGCCAATGAAAGTGGCTCAAAATCCTGTGGATGGGCATAATCTTCTTCAAGGAAATTTTCAGATTCTTTTCATCTACTTCAACAGTTTTCAGATGAGATGGTTGCCAGAGAGGGCAGGGCTGCACAGTCTCCATTCCACAGGGGAAGGGAAGCAGCTTTCTTCTCTGGCTTGACCGCTCTCCTCAGTGCTGATGAGACATGCAGACCACATGAAAACCACAGCTTTCTTCAGCTGCCAACATTCGGAAGGCTCAACCAACCACTGTCTCCCCTTGTCATTACTCAGGATAGTCAATATTCATGATCAGAGGCTTATGGGCTGGATGTATAATAAATGCAACATGGGTTATTAGGATTATAAAACCTTAAATTCACTTTTTTCTTCTTAGATTAAAGCAATGCAATAAAGAATAAAAGCTCATAAAAATGCCAACCAGTTACCTTCAGCTCTATGTATGTGAGGCTGCTCTTTGCAAAGTCAGATACAACAGCAACATACAACAGGTTGATTGAGAAAGCCCAGCCACTGGCACAGAGGTTAGATACGCCCCAGTGCTCCTGAACAGGAGATGGAGCTAGACTCCTATGAATAGCCAATTTCATGAAATAATCTTTGAAAGAAGTGAGTAGCACTTTTTATTTTTACAGGGAGACATTGTTCAGTATATAAGAGAAATTAGTCTTAGAAATATTGAGAGTCATGCAAGAAAGATGTTCTTTTTGCTTTCACAGACCTTCAAAGGGGATGCTATTGCCAATCTGAGCATCAAATCAAATGAGTTGCTTGATTAAAGAACAGGGCTACCTTGTGTCTTTTTTTTTTTTTTTTTTTTTATGATTTCTTTCACTTTTCAAAACCCTTTCCATTCTTCAGGACCCATCTTCCTTGCTTCATGGTTTAACACCTCATGCTTCCTTGAATCAGTTAGCCAGGAGAATAAGAAATTTTGGCTGAGTATTGTTAGAACGGAGGCACTGGCCCACCTAGGAAGTTAGCCTCCAAACAATGTGCTCAGCAGTTCCAAATCTAGTGGCTCAAAGCCTCATCTCCCTGGCTTTGTTATCTACAGGTGCTGACCTGCTTGGTGAATGCTGGGATCTCTGGAAGAGGGAGGCAGACATCACACACCAGCTGGCAAGTGGGAGCTGGCATGCAACATGCCCCAATACCACTCCCCTCCTGCCATCCCTATCTCCTAATGGTGCCTCCTTTTGGCCAAACCCACCTTTGGCTGGAGGGCAACAGAGCCCATTGACGTGGTCCCCTTGCATCTGCTACCTGGGGAGAAAAGCAGGATGGACACTGAATCTAGAGAAATGAAGAAACCCATCCAGAAGAATACTGCTTCTTTATGTTTTTGTAGGTGAGTACTGAATTGTCATAGAAAGTAGTTTTTTAATTATGTGTTGTGGTCAAAAAGTTCAAGAAAAACTGAGATAATAGATGGAATTGTTCTGGATTTGCAAGTTGAGGGTTTACCAGAAGCTGTAGCCAGGCAAAGCTGGGATGGGCAGGACTGACTCCAAAGAAAGTCTTTCCTTTACCTCCATTAGACACTGGTTTCTCCTTATGCCGACTGCCTGTGGATCCTACTGCTGTACTTGTTGACCCTTGATATGTTTTGTTTTATGCTAACATTTAAAACTCTTTATTTTAGGTGTACAAATCAGGCCTCCCCATGATATTCTAAACTCCTTGAGGAAAGAAGTGGAGTCCTGGGCTTCTGATGTAGCCTCCACAGTGCTCAGGGGATAGCGACACTGGCACCCTATAGATATTTAATTACATGTGGACTGGAAGAGACCAAACAGCTTCCTGGTATTTCAATCAAACCCGGTGCTCTAGACCTGTGGCTCACTCTGAGCAAACTATAATGAGTTGAACTTGAATCTGATTCCTGCTAAGAAAGGTTTCATTTTAATAGGCAGTAAGGCTATGAGCTAACACCAGAATTCATTCGAGTTACTAGACTCACTGAAACTCCTCACAGGATCCATCTTTCATGTTTTCTAGATTTTGGTATTCTTATCTAAACTGCAGACCCAGAAACCCTATGGACCCTACCTTTCCAATTATATTTCTGGGAAGAGTCATTCTCTGCAGAGCTGAAGCATGTAACAGAAAGTTCTCAACCTGAAAAATATACCTTCTGCGCCCAAGCCCCACTTTCTGCCACTATTTGGTAATCTCAAGTGGGTGAGGTGGTCTCTGAACTTCAGCGCTCTCATGGTCAGAGCCACAAGGGGTTACTGGGAGGCTAAAGGGAAGTGGCAAACGTGGCTGAGATTCAGAAAGAAAAGCAGCAAGTGTAGAGAGGCAAGGACTTTTCCATCTTTTAAATTCCTTAAAGGAAGCCAAAGTTCATTTTCCAGTCTCCTTCAGATGCCTCTCCAATCCTTCACAGCAGCGCACACATACCGCAGAAGGAACTCACCATCACAAAAAGATGACAGAGCACTGGGGGCTGGGGTGCCACTTGTGTTGGCTGAGAGCCTGGATGCATGTGAGGTCAAGCCTGACCTTGGGAAAGCTGCTCTCTGGACATTACTTGCTGTGCCACATACACAGCTTGGGTTTCTGAGGAAACAACACAGGCTCTAAGGAGGAACTGGAACGGGGCCCAGGGTATATCTTTTACAGCCCGTACTTTTGAGGAAAATAGAAGACAAAAGGTTTTTAAAAAACACAAAGTGTATACACGTATACACAAAGTTTACAAGTTTGTGTGTTTTAACATCTACTCTCCTTAAGAACAAGTAGACAGGAAAGATATTACCTGATATGGGTTAAATTGTGTCCCCAAAAACATGTTTTGAAGTGCTAACCTTTGGTACCTGTGGATATGACCTTACTTGGAAATAGGTTTTTGCAGACGTAACCAAGTTAAGATGAGGTCATATTTGATTAGGCTGAACCCTGAATCCAGTATGACTGGGGTCCTTATATAAACAAGAGAGACACACGCAGAGTGAAGATGATGTGTTGAAACACAGGAACAGTGTCATGGGATGCTGGGGACAGCAGTTGGAGTGATGCATCTATGGGCCAAGGGAATGCCAAGGATTGCCAGCCATCACCAGGACAGAAGCATGGGTACTGATGCCCTCACAGAGCCCTTGAAGAGAGTCAACCCTGCTGACACCTTGATTTCAGACTTCCAGCCTCCAGAACTGTGAGAGAATAAATTTCCGTTGTCTTAAGTCACCCAGTTTGTAGCACTTTATTATGGCAGCCCTGGGAAACTAACACACTACCCTTATTTTCATGCTGAGGAATGTAAGATAGTTTTAGGCACCACCTGCTTCTATACAAGTTTTATGATCTCTCCTCCTAATACTGCAGAAATTATGGGTTTTACCATCTTAGTATATAGCATAATATATCCAGCACACGTTATATATTTAGCACTTTATTAGAGTACCCCGGTTTGCTCTTCTGAAAAACTGTGAGGCTGGATTTGATGCTTTCTAAGGCTTTTTTTTCCCTATGTATTCTCTGATCAGAATACCCTGCTCAACGAAGCCGCTGGTAATGAAGCTCATTAAAAATGAAATCACTTAGGTAGGGAGTTGGAGAGTGACTCATTTAAAACATTGCCTCCTGGAAACTGAAATTCATTGAACACAAAAGCTTTTGGAGGGACTCAGATTGGTAGGGACTCTGCAGTCTGACAAAAGGGTCTGGTGACAGGGGGCATCTGATCCCATCTAGGGAGGGTAGGGAGAGGGAGTCCGGAGAGGGATGCATAAACAAGCCTTCTTCAGACATGCTACCTATGCCTCTCCCATGGCTCCTGCATGCTTGGATGTTACGCTTCTTTAAAGAGCAGGTGACAGGTTGCCCCTGGGACGCTCAGAGCCAGGCAAGGTGGGACTTGGCCCTGCTCCCCCTTCTTCTATCTGAAAAGTTGCCCTTAGTCCCACGGGGCCCCTTCCTGTCACACCGACACAGCTTGCTGGTTTTTGTTTTCTTTCACTGTCCTTTTTCTTTTTTCAGAAGTTCCTCACAGGAAGTGTTTGGCAGGCAGCTCAGGCCCCTGCTGAGATGGAGAATCTAGCAAACCTGTCCCGCTGATTGATTAAACACTGAGGAGGCTCCAAGACCCAAGCGTGAAATTCCTTGGCTCTGATTGTGCTAAGGGTAGAGCTCACTAATGAATGGAGTCTGATTACAGCCCAGCCTCTCCAGTGCCTCCTGTTGCCCCAATTTGGGGGATTCTTCTGCTTCGAGTACATCATGGAAAGCAGCACAGAGTTCTCAGCAGGATCTGCGATGTCTGATCCAAGAAAGATTTTTGTTGTTGTCGTCATTGTTGTTTTTTAATCCTGATCATTGCTCTCAAACCCTTCTCTACACAGCTTGGCGTGGGGGGTAGTTGATTTCCAGTGAAACCGGGTGGAAGCAGTGCCACTGCCACCTGTGAGGAGGAAATGGGCAACAGTCGGCTTCATCCGTCCTGAACGCTCAGGCCTGAATGTTCCAAACTGATGCTAAACTGAGACTCTCTGAAGGCCCATGGGGAAGCCTGGCATTGTGTAGCCATTTCTTCCAGCAAGGCTCTCCCCTCACATTCACAGCCTGCCACTTAAAGCTTTGGGAGACAATGTAGTTGACCTGTAGTTCTTCCTGTATGTGGCTCCTGGTCAGTCACTGGGCAAGGAGGAGGCTGCAGGCATTGTGCTATCCCCTTATCTCTCTCTCTGTCTGTCTCTTATCTAGTTCAAATCAGCAAATGGAGCTTGGTCCTTCGTTTGTAAAGTAAGGGGGTGGAAAATTATCCCTAAGTTACCTCCTGGTTTAGAAAAGTCTTAATGCTGTTTTATAATAACTCACCCACCTCTCCTCTTCCATGAGCTCAGAGCGGCCCAGCCCTTGGAATGTGTTTCTGCCACGACAAGGAATACAGGAGGAGTTGAACAGGAAACCTGCCTCCTATCAGATTCACCTGAGGACGTGGTAAGACATGAAGATCTGAATGGATGCTTTATGCTGCTCTTATGGGACTCCCCACCTCTTTCCCTATCTGAATGCAGATACCTGCATTCTCCTAAACTTGGGATGGTTGTCTGGGATTTCCAGCCACAATTCAGCTTTGTCCTTTGGTAATTGCATTTCGTGTACTTGTGTTAGACTTTGTGAGAATTTGTAGAGCTACCCGGCCCACACATACCATACCCTTCGAGGACTCTTAGGCACATAGACCTACTTTCCACCATCAAGTCCTGGGCTCTCCTAGAGGAACTTGGCTGCTTTTAACACTTTCCTGGATCTGGTATCTCATGTGTCCTCCTGACTCCCTTCCCAAGTTCAGAGGTAAATTTTCTTGGGCTTAGGATGGATCTCTGAGTTGGTTGTGGGGCTAGTTTGCCAAACTGACAGATTGGGAAGTCCAGCCACTACGGTGCTGGTCTGGTCCTTCTTGTATTTTCCGGCATGAGAATAGAACTGTCTTAAAAGATTGGCGAAGGACCGAATCAACAGTTGTGACCATCTTTGAATGTCAGGACGGTGGTTCTCAACTGATACGTGTGGCTGGGTATTAGGAAGGTAGATGTAGTGTGTGTGTTGGCACATATCATTATTACCAAGATACAATTACCAAATGGGTGTGTGTGTCATAACTACCAAAATGGGATGTGTCTGTGAATGGGCTAAGACAATTTGATATATCCATTCTATTCCTCTGCTTTTCTGTCTTTTAAAGCTTCCCCATTCTCTTATCCCAACTCTTTTGCCTCTCCCCAACACACAGATTGAGAAATATTGTGTTAGAGGAAGGTAGGGGCAAAGAGATAAGAAGTTCACTACATAGTTCATCTGATTACCTGTCTTAGGGAAATGCTAGCCGATGTAACAAACAAACCCTAGAATGTTACTGTCTTATGTAACAAATGTTCTTTCCTCACTAATGTGATAGTTCAGTGTAGTTGTTCCTGAACAGTAGGCTGATCTCTTTTACACAGTAATTCAGGGACCCATGCTCCTACCCTCTCATGGTTTACATCTTCTACCTTGGAGTTCTTTGCTGTAGGTGGCTGAGAAAAGAGAGTATGCAGAACTCCCATGCACTTCTCAAATTCCACGGTCTGGAAGTCAAAATATATCACGTCCTTAACATTCTGTTGGAGAAACAGAATTATTGGGCCTTCCTGGAAGCAAGAGGGGTTGTGCTAGGAAATGTAGTGGGTGACTATGTGTCTACCTCCCAGCAATACTCCCACTATAGATGTGCACATATTTTGGTGTTCAGCTATCCATCTCTGTCATAATTGCTCATATATTTATCAGAAACTTCACATCACAGAGCTCAGAAACTTTCTTTTACTGTGAGTTTTTATATAAATAAAAATAGAATTGGTAGCCAGCTACAGGAAAAAAAGGGGGTAAAAATATGAATCAGATCTGTGCATAAATCTTGGCTTCAAAATTTAATAATTTTGTAAATCTTGGGCAATTTTCCTAAACTCTTTATACCTCAATTTACAGATCTGTGAAACAGGGATAATAATATTTCTTTATGAGGTTAATGGTTGCAGATGACATAGAGGACTTGGCATATAATAAGTGCTCATTAAATAGTAGCTTTTATTTCAATCTCAATAAAATCATTGCAAATGGATTTTCATCAGTTAAGACGTTACTGTTCAACTCACAATATCCTGAAGTTTGAGACTTTTCTTCTGTAACCCAAGTTAGAATTTACTTATTCTTAGAAGGTTAGAGTTAGATGGCCCTTGAAGATTATCTGATTTCTGGGGACATTAGATGACTTTTTCAAGGTCACAGAGGTAATTATTGGCAGAGATAAGACTAAACTTTAAGTCTTTTCACTTGTAGATCAGTGTGCTAGCCAATTCTTTCAGTTAAACTTGGTGAAACTGAGTACACTGAACTTGTAGCTTCCAAGTTGGAGCTTTTGAGTGAGCCATTTGGCTGCCCAAAGCAGGCCAGGGACACACAGCTGTCCTCCCCGCTGCAGTCCTGTCTGTTTATTCTGCCCACTTGCTGAGGAATGGGCTGTGGACAAGCTGTTTGGTTTGTTGCATATGATTTCTAGGCTAGCTTTTATTTTCCTGAATTGCCCATCATTTTCACTATCATGGTGCAGGGATTGTCTTCAGAAAATGAGCTTTGTTCTTTCCAGAGAGGTTACTTCTAACCAGTTATTAAAATAGGGCTTTCAGTTCATCTTCTCCTGAAAAGTGGTAGTGCTTTAAAGGACATAAAAAATAGATTCTCTAAGTGCCATATTTTAAACCAATATTTTTCTTCCTACCCCTCCTTTTTCAAACCACTGGAGACCCTTTCTTTCAATGGCTTTCAGGCTATTAATATTAAGAACATGCCATATCCATATGTTGTGTGAGTGAGCACGTATGTATTTCTCACTCAGTAAACACATTATAACATTCTATAGTGAAAATCCAACATGACTCAGCATCATTGTTTTGAGAAAACTGAATTTCTGCCAATCATTTCTAATAAAGATAGTAACCTTCAACTCTGACTGGTCACATGTTGACCACAAGAAGAATGAGCAGAGTAGCCATTGTCTATCTGCTGTACACTCAGGCAGTGTCACATAGGGCCTGGTTATAGCATTATCCTTGCTTTTTTCTCTAAAGGGTGGCCTTTGCTAACCCTCATAGAGAGGACTTAGTAATCAGGAAATATGATCTTACTGCCTTTTGCACTTTGGAGAAGTCTTCTAGAGTTTCTTTACCACTCAAAATGACAAGGTGAAGTCCCTTTTCCCACCTCCCCAGACTTCTCCAGATTACATACTCTAGTCTTTGGGAAGGGATAAGGGATTCTTACGTAAAGAGACCTAGAGGGTCAGAATTTCAGAGACTGGAATTATTTCCAGCAGAATTAATTGCTCTATACCACACTTCCAAAGTGTGGTTCAGGCTCAGACCTTTGGATGGAGGATAGCCTATGAGGTTCCCTCTCCTATCCCTGTCTCTCCCCCTTTTTCATGCATCCCTCCCTTCCAAATTCATCAGTCTGGATCTTTCCACCCTTTGCCCCATGGAAGGTGTTCTTCCTCCTATCTTTTTCCCAAAAAGAAAAGCAGGATCCTTTGTTCCTCCTTTTCTCATAAATTATCAGGCTTCAGTCATTCGCCGGATATTAATAAAAGTGCTTCCCTGGTTTAGCTGTGATAGACTGGGAATAGTGGGTTCTGGTCCCAATAACAACTTGTTTTCCTCACTGCTCAGCTAGGAAGCAGTCACATGTTACCAAAGAGAGAGTTCTAAAAGACAGCACCGTCCAATATCATATGAAGAATGGACAGTCCCACAGTTAACATGGATTTAACTTCACTTCTTTTGAAATATTAGACCTTGACATTATTGTGTTAAGGGGAATTTGACTTGTTCCTTTGGCCTAACTCACCTTGCAAGGGTTTCCCTACCCCACTTACTGTAAATGTCTGGCACATTTATATTGCTACCCAGAAACTCAGGCACTAGTTCTGATTATTTTCTTTTATCTTAATATACCTATGCCTTTAAATATGATGATCAGTGTAAGGGTTGTTGCCACTTTATCCTCCCACAAAAGATACAAAAAATATATAATATACATGTAATACCCCTAATACAAATATTATTGCATGGACCAATAACTTGAGTTTATAATTAGATTGGGAAATTGTATTAGTTATGCCTCCTATTGTTGCAAGTGGCAGAATGTCAGCTGGGACTAAGAAAAAAAAAAGGATTAACTCATATAAATGTTAACTTCAGGGGGGTGTATTTAGCTTCAGGCATGGCTGGAGCCAGGGTTATCAAGCAGTATAATCTCTCTCTTCCCGTCTTCTTGTCTCTCATCTCTGTTTGCCTGCCTTGGCTTTTTTCACAGCTGCTGGCAGCCACAGGTGTACTCTGTTGCTACAGTTCCTGAACCCTCTTGGACAATGGTCCAGAGATTATCCTAACTTAGGATACTCAATTCTAGAACCACTTATTGGGAAGGGGGATAATTCTACTGATTAGTCAAATCTGCATCTTCTGTCAAACTCTAGGAAGGAGGTATGGGGGGATTAGCCCCACTTCAACCACAGAGATGAAGCCAAATTACTTTAGAATGGGGAGGAGCTGTTTCTTATAGGAAGGGATGCTATACAGGTAACAGATCTTTACATGTCCACTCTGGGAAGTATGGTATTTCAATGGGAAACCATAAATGGTACCATACAGGGTGTCATTAAATACTGGAGTGCTGAACTCAGAAAGTCAGTGTAGAGGGAGCTCCTAAAGACAGCGAAGTCATGGAGAGTTGAGGGTAGTCAGAGGATGTTTCATACAGGAGGTGCTGTTTGTCCTGGATTTTAGAGAAAGCTTCCAGAGAGATAGTGGCTAATAAATGAAATAAAGACATAGCTAAACACTGGAAATGAGAGGCGGCAGCCTAAGGGAGTGGGAGAATCATTTCAGAAAGAGGAAGAAGACCTCGTCAAGGACAAACTTCTTACTTTACAGGCCTGTGAGCTGGCACTGGCGGCATGAGGAGCACTGGGCATCTGACAGGTTAATATCTTTCTGCTTTGTAATATAATAGAAACCTCTCTTATAACTCTTGTTCTGGAAAAACAACATAAATATTTATTTGTTGGTAATTCACACTTTATATGCAGTGTGTGTGTTGTATTATCTCAAGAACTGTGTGATCTTTTGCCCTCAGAGTCACATCATGCCCTGGGTGGAGTGTCACAGTATGATGAGTGTGTTCTCACTCTTGTTCACAGCCCATGGTTCCGCAGGTGGACAGAATAAACAGACAGGACTGTAGAGTGGAGGACAGCTGTGTGTCTCTGGCCTGCTTCGGGCATGATTATAAGAAAGGCTTTGCTCCTGGGGGAGCAAAAAGCCTTTGTATCTTACTCTGGGCTGTACTCCCATGTTTATTTTAGGAGCAATGGAGATGCAGAACCCAGCATGACACTTGGATGACAATTTATTTTTAAAGGGGTTATAAATATGTAACTCCTCTAGCAAGACATCAATGCTTTTTGGGTCTATTTTATTTATAATCAGTTACCAGCACCCTCCCTCTCTCAAAAATAAGCTGGATTATATTTTAATGCAATTTGCATTAGATATTTCATTTTCATTTAATTATCAGCATTTTCTTTGCTGGCATGTAAGACATGCTCCCAACAGTCATCTGTTTCAAAGACGTGCTAAGAGGCCCAGTCACAGGGATCCTGGGGTGCGTGCTTCTCACTGAGGCTGACTCAGGGGCAATACCCCTTTCTTACTTCTTGAGACACTCACTCCTAGTTCTTCTTCTTCTTATGGGACTTTCTTTCTAACATCATAAACAGAAACCCTGGCAGAGAGGAAGAAAAAAATAAAAGACAGAATGACATAAGTAGTTATATTTTGAATAACTTTCCATGTTGGAGTATGTGAACTTGAGAATTAGACATGGGTGTGTCTAATTCCAAGATAAATTATTACTGCTAATCTTGGGCAAATTACTTCTCTGAATCATACATTTCTTATTTTTAAAATGAAGATAATACTTCTTTCATGCGTGTCAGTGTGAAGAGACCACCAAACAGGCTTTGTGTGAGCAATAAATCTTTTAATCACCTGGGTGCAGGCGGGCTGAGTCTGAAAAAAGAGTCAGCAAGGGGAGACAGGGGTGGGGCTGTTTTATAAGATTTGGGTAGGTAAAGGGAAATTACAGTCAAAGCGGGGTTGTTCTCTGGCGGGCAGAAGTAGGGGTCACAAGGTGCTCAGTAGGGGAGCTTTTGAGCCAGGATGAGCCAAGAGAAGGAATTTCACAGGATAATGTCATCAGTTAAGGCAGGAACAGGCCATTTTCACTTCTTTTGTGGTGGAATGTCATCAGTTAAGGCAGGAACTGGCCATCTGGATGTGTACGTGCAGGTCACAGGGGATATTATGGCTTAGCTTGGACTCAGAGGCCTGACATTCCTGTCTTCTTATATTAATAAGAAAAATAAAACAAAATAGTGGTAAAATGTTGGGACGGTGAAAATTTTGGGGGATGGTATGGAGAGATAATGGGCGATGTTTCTCAGGGCTGCTTTGAGCGGGATTAGGGGCGGCGTGGGAACCTAGAGTGGAAGAGATTAAGCTGAAGGAAGATTTTGTGGTAAGGGGTGATATTGTGGGACTGTTAGAAGAAACATTTGTCATTTAGAATTATTGGTGATGGCCTGGATACGGTTTTGTATGAATCGAAAAACTAAACAGAATAAGAGAAGGAGAAAAACAGGTATTAAAGGTCTAAGAATTGGGAGGACCCAGGACATCTAATTAGAGAGTGCTTAAAGAGGTTCAGCATAGCCTTGCCAGCAAAGATTATTTATTTACTTTAAGAGTTAAGAATGGCGGTTTGGGGATAGCACCAGGAGATATCAGCTGTGATGGCTTGGAGAAACAGTGTAAATTGGCAGTGTAAACAAGAGCAGGGCATGTATGAGTAGTTGAGAACGGTGAATAGGAGTATGACTAGACAGAAAATAGTGGGGATGACAAGTTTTTTGGGGCACAGTCTAAGTTGGTCTGGTGTCTGGGATGAGACTGGGGCCTAATAAAAAGGAGCGTCTATACAGGAGCTTAAATGGGCTGTACCCTGTAACATTCTGAGGACAGGCCTGAATTCTGAGAAGGGAAAGTGGTAAAAGTATTGTCCAGTCCTTTTTAAGTTGGTGGCTGAGCTTGGTGAGGTGTGTTTTTAAAAGACTTTTAGTCCATTCTACTTTTCCTGAAGACTGAGGACCATAAGGGATATAAAGGTTTCACTGAATACTAAGAGCCTGAAAAACTGCTTGGCTGATTTGACTAATAAAGGCTGGTCTGTTATCAGACTGTATAGAGGTGGGAAGGCTAAACTGAGGAATTATGTCTGACAGAAGGGAAGAAATGACTGCGGTGGCCTTCTCAGACCCTGTAGGAAAGGCCTCTACCTATCCAGTGAAAGTGTCTACCTAGACTAAGAGGTATTTTAGTTATCTGACTCGGGGCATGTTGAGTAAAGCTAATTTGCCAGTCCTGGGTGGGGCAAATCCTCGAGCTTGATGTGTAGGGAAAGGAGGGGGCCTGAATAATCCTTGAGAAGTAGTAGAATAGCAGATGGAACACTGAGAAGTTATTTCCTTGAAGATAGATTTCCACGATGGAAAGGAAACGAGAGGTTTTAAGGGGCGGGCTAGTGGCTTGTACTATAGCATAGCCTGCCTTTGCTGGTGTGTGGCGATTAGGCCTGGTGGAACTGCCATCAATAAACTAAGTGTGATCAGGGTGAGGAACAGGAAAGAAGGAAATATGGGGAAATGGGGTGAACGTCAGGTGGATCAGAGAGATGCAGTCATGAGGGTCAGGTGTGGTATCCGGAATAACGTGGGAGGCCGGAATGAAGTCCGTGCCAGGAACAATGGTAGTTGTGGGAGACTCAACAAAGAGTGAGTATAGCTGAAGGAGCTGGGAAGCAGAAAGTATATGTATCAGGTATGAGGAAGAAAATAGATTTTCGAAGTTATGGAACTGTAGAGTGAGTTGAACATAGTTTGTGATTTTTAGGTCCTCTAAAAGTATTAAAGCAGTGGCAGCTGCTGCACGCAGACATGAGGGCTAGGCTAAAACAGTAAGGTCAAGTTGTTTGGGCAGAAAGGCTACAGGGTGCGGTCCCAGCTCTTGTGTAAGAATTCTGACCGCACTAACCATGCCTAGGAAGGAAAGGAGTTGTTTTGTAGAAGGGATTGGGGTTTGGGAGATTAGCCAGACATGATCAGCAGGGAGAGCACATGTGTTTTTATGAGAATTATGCCAAGATAGGTAACAGATGAGGAAGAAATTTGAGCTTGACTGAAGTAATGGGGGCTGTCTGTGAAGACTTGCGGCAGTACAGCCCGGGTAATTTGCTGTGCCTGATGGGTGTCAGGGTCAGTCCAAGTGAAAGCGAAGAGAGGCTGGGATGAAGGGTGCAAAGGAATAGTAAAGAAAGCATGTTTGAGATCTAGGACAGAATAATGGATTATGGAGGGAGGTATTGAGGATAGGAGAGTATATGGGTTTGGCACCACGGGGTGGATAGGCAAAACAATTTGGTTGATAAGGCACAGATCTTGAACTAACCTGTAAGCCTTGTCTGGTTTTAGGACAGGTGAAATGGGGGAGTTGTAAGGGGAGTTTATAGGTTTTAGAAGCCATGCTGTAGCAGGCAAGTGATAACAGGCTTTAATCCTTTTAAAGCATGCTGTGGGATGGGATATTGGCGTTGATCGGGTTAAAGGTGATTAGGTTTTAGTGGGATGGTAATGGGCATGTGATCGGGTTGCCAGGGAAGGAGTAGAGATGTCCCATACTTGTGGGTTAAGGTGGGGAGATACGAGAGGAAGATGCAAAGGAGACTTTGGGTTAGGGAGAAGGGCAGCAATGAGATGCGGCTGTAGTCCAGGAATAGTCAGGGAAGCAGATAATTTAGTTAAAATGTCTTGGCCTAATAAGGGAACTGGACAGGTGGGGATAACTAAAAAAGAGTGCATAAAAGAATGTTTTCTAAGTTGGCACCAGAGTTGGGGAGTTTTAAGAGGTTTAGAAGCCTGGCTGTCAATACCCACAACAGTTATGGAGGCAAGGGAAACAGGCCCTTGAATAGAAGGTAATGTGGAGTGGGTAGCCTCCGTATTGACTAAGAAGGGGACGGACTTACCCTCCACTGTGAGAGTTACCCAGAGCGTCTGTGATGGTCCTGTAGGCTTCCGAGGTGATCGGGCAGTGTCAGTCTTCAGCTGCTAAGCTGAGAAGATCTGGGGAGGAGTCAGTCAGTCAGAGAGCCTTGGGCCAGAGTTCCAGGGGCTCTGGGAGCGGCTGCCAGGTGAGTTGAACAGTCTGATTTTCAGTGGGGTCCCACACAGATGGAACGCGGCTTAGGAGGAATCCCGGGCTATGGGCATTCCTTGGCCCAGTGGCCAGATTTCTGGCACTTGTAGCAAGCTCCTGGGGGAGGAGGTTCTGGAGGAACCCCTGGCAGCTGCGATTCGGGCATTTGGAGTTCTTGTGTGCTGGAGATGTGGCTGGGGTTTGTCTCACAGTGGAGGCAAGGAATTGCAACTCAGAAATACATTGCTACTTGGCTGCCTCTACTCTATTATTGTACATCTTGAAGGTGAGGTTAATTAAGTCCTGTTGCGGGGTTTGAGGGCCGGAATTTAATTTTTGGAGTTTTATTTAATGTCAGGAGCGGATTGGTTAATAAAATGTATATTGAGAATAAGATAGCCTTTTGACCTTTTAGGGGCTAGGGCTGTAAAGCGTCTCAGGGTTGCTGCCAAACCAGCCGTGAACTGGGCTGGGTTTTTCATATTTGATGAAAGAGCCTAAACACTAACGGATTTGGGAGAGGTTGGATAAAGAAAAAGGAGCATTAACCTTGACTATGCCTTTAGCTTCAGCCACCTTTTTAAGAGGAAATTGCCGGGCAGGTGGGGGAGGGCTAGTCGCAGAATGAAACTGTAAGCTGGAACAGGTGTGAGGAGGGGAGGTGATAAAAGGATTATAGGGTTGGGGAGTAGAGGCTGAGGAAGAATTAGGACCTGGCTCCGCCTGGTGAGGGGCAGCCTGGGGAGGAGGGGAGAGACCAGATGGGTCTGTAGAAAAGGAAGAGTAGAAAGACTCAGCGACGCTTGGGGTTGGGACTGAGAGAACAGGCGGGAGGGAAAGAAGGAGGATTTGGGACCAGTCGCATTGGGAACAGAGAGTAGGGAAGGAACAATGTGTAAAAGAATGCCTGGATGTCAGGCACCTCAGACCATTTGCCCATTTTATGACAAGAATTATCTAGATCTTGTAGGATGGAAAAATCGAAAGTGCCGTTTTCTGGCCATTTAAAGCCATTGTCAAGTTTGTACTGGGGCCAAGCGGTGTTGCAGAAGAAGATAAGGCATTTAGGTTTTAGGTCGGGTGTGAGTTGAAGAGGTTTTAAGCTCTTGAGAACACAGGCTAAGGGAGAAGAAGCAGGAATGGAGGGTGGAAGGTTGCCCATAGTGAAGGAGGCAAGCCCAGAGAAAAGAGAGAGTAGGGACACGGAGGGAAGGGGTTGAGGGGTTCTTATCCTCCAGAAAAGTGGGAAAGGGGTTGGGGCGTGGAAATAAGGGGTTGAGGTGCAGAGATAAGAGGTCAGGGCATGGAAATAAGGGGTTGGGGCACAGAGATAAGAGGTCGGGGCATGGAAATAAGGGATCGGGGTGCAGAGATAAGAGGTTGGGGCGTGGAAATAAGGGACAACTTCCTTATGGCATTGTTAAAAACCTGAAAAGACACCAGGCAGGTATGTAATGCACCAGGCAGGTAGGAGTCACCTGCCTACTTTCCTCCTTTTACGTAAGGCAGAGACAAGGATTTTCCAGCCAGTGAAAGAAATACAACATTTATCTTATTTTGGGGAGCTGTGTATCAGTCAAAATAGGTTAGATTATGCTGCAGTAACAAACAGTCCTGTATTAGTCAGGATTCTCCAGAGAAACAGAATCAATAAGATATATACATATATATTGATACACAAGAGGAAATTTATGAGGGGAATTGGCTAATGCAATTATGAAGGCTGACACCCCATGACATGCTGTCTACGAGCTGGAGAAGCAGGGAAGCCAATAGGGTGGCCCAGTTCAGGTCTGAAGGCCAGAGAACATGGTTGATGGGGGTGCTGGTACCAGTCCTGGAATCTGAAGGTCAGAGAACCTGGAGTTCTGATGTATAAGGGCAGCTCTCCCAGCTCTCAGAGAGAGAGAAAGACATGTGCGCACATGCAAGAGAGAGAGAGAGAGAATAAACTCACCTTTCCTCTGCTTTTTTGTTCTACCTGGGCCCTCAGCCAATTGGATGGTGCTTTCCCACACTGGCTAATGGTGGATCTTCCTTATGCAATTCACTGATTCAAATGTCCATCACTTTCAGGCCCAGCTTCACAGACATACCCAGAAATCATGCTTTACCAGCTATCTGGGTATTCCTTAACCCAGTCAAGTCGACATCTGAAATTAACCATCAGAAATCCCCAAATCTCAGTGGCTGCAAAAACAAAGCCTAATTTTTGCTCATGCTACAAGTCCATTGTGGGTCAGCTTTATCTTTATTCCTCTTCACTGTAGAATTCAGGAGAATGGTGCAGCCTCTATCTGACACATACTAATCATGGTGGCAGAGGGGGTAAAAGCCAATGAATTTTGGGTAAGTAGACTCTTTTCCCAAAGTGACACTTTGCCCACATTTCATTGACCAAATCAAGCTACATGGGTAAGCATGATATTGAAGAAGGTAGAGAAGTTGAAATCTTTATCCTTTTGTGGACTGGTGGGGCTGCCTTGTTGAGACCATAAGTTAAAACCAAGATTCTGAACCAGAATGGTGCTTGAGAATTACCCATGGAGCAAAAAATACATATATGATAAAGCCCCAATGAATCAAGATCTTGTAGATGGCCCAGGAAAGTACAGTTTTACTACTTTCCACAGGTGTGCACCCTCCAGATAACAACCAATGTGTTAAAAGGTTAAGGTTGACCTAAAAGTCAAGAAAATTAGTAAGCTGATTATCTTTGAAAGTAAGCATTAAAAAGAGATAACTCTGCCTTTTCCTCTAAATCTTACAAGTCTCTTTTTCTTCAATCTTTTTAATATTATACTTTAACTGACTTTGTTCCAAGGCTTCCTTATTTATAATTTAGGAAGCAGGTTAATACTTTATATTTCTCTAAGGAAAATAAAGAACCAGGTTGCTTTGTATTTGTTTGTGGCTTTCCATTGATTTTTCCATGGGTCAGTGGTTCACAGTAGAAAACAGCATTACCACCTTTGACTTAAATCTTTCTGGGATGCATGAAGATGGATATTTGGTTTGGGTACTTCCCCTGCTGTATAGATAGTCTTCAGTTAGCTTTTCATGGCTTTGTGAGGCAATCAGGAGTATTGGGTTTACCTTGCCAGCACACTCATTTTTTTCCTGTGGTGCAAAATGAGGCTATGAAAGAAAACCCTTGGGGATGAGGGTGTGAGGGAGGAAGGCACAGCAAGGCAAAGGGGCAGGTCTAAGTTGAGCACCCTCACTCAGTCTAGATTGCTTGTTGGATGGTGATGGTTCTTCAATCTTCATTAATCACATCCTTCAGTTTCAGAGGTCCTTTTGACCATGAAAAGAGACTTGAGTCCCTTTCCCCTTATAGTACTGGGGAAAAGACCCCACTTGTATACCAACCCTTGTGGGATGTTTAGTGAAAATACCTTACTGAGGGGAGGGGGTTGGCAACCCCTACTTTCTTGGAGTCAAAGAACACGTCATTGTTCAGGACTACAAAGAAAGAATTCTCAATGGGATTACTGGAGTCAGTGAGACTTCCTCTCAGTCTGATGCTTAATCTGGGGTTTGAGTTATTCCTCCATTTCATAAAGTAAAAACTGAACTGCAGAAATTTTAAACAAGTGTTCAAATACTTTTAGAAGTCAAGGATACAAACAGTTGTAGGACCATGGTCTAGCATTATTTTGTTCTTGCATCCCTTATAATTTTGTCTCCTTGTGTGTTCAAATGCCTGGGGAGTGCCTGATAGGGCTACCTGGCCCTGTGTCTTGGCAGAAGTTCTGCATTGAGGTTTCAGAGCAGCAGAAGTCCCTTGACTCCCCATTCATGCTGCCAGGTGAATGGCAAACAGCTAGAATTCTACTGGCTGAAATACTTTTTAGCTTAAGGTTTCAGTTTTTGTTGTTGTTGTTGTTGTTGTTGTTGTTGTTTGAGACAGCATCTTGCTCTGTTGCCCAGCCTGGAGTGCAGTGGCATGATCTCAGCTCACTGCAACCTCTGCCTCCTGGGTTCCAGCGATTCTCCCACCTTAGCCTCCCATGTAGCTGGGACTACAGATGTGCACCACCATGCGTGGCTAATTTTTGTATTTTTTAGTACAGACCGTGTTTCACCATATTGGTCAGGCTGGTCTCGAACTCCTGACCTCATGATCCACCCACCTTGGCCTCCCAAAGTGTTGGGATTACAGGCATGAGCCACTGTGCCTGGCAAGGTTTCAGTTTTTGATAAAGAGGAAATGCCTCTAGGAGAAGCCAAATCTCAGAATAAATTAAACAGAAATGTATTTCTGACAGTTCTGGAGGCTGGGAAGTCCAAGATCATGGTGCAAGTAGATTAAGTGTAATGAGGGCCCATTTCGCGGTCTATAGATGGTGTCTTTTGCTGTGACCTTACATGGCAGAAGAAGGGAGGGATCGCTTTGGAGTCCTTTTTTCTAAGGACCTAATTTTGTTTGTGAGGGTTCTGCACTCATGGTCTAATAACTTCCCAAAGGCCCCACTTCCTAATATCATCAACCTGAGGGTTGGGATCTAAATATATGAGTTTATGGGTGCACAAACGTTCAGGCTTATCTCATAAAAACCTCCCACACTCACTTACCTGTGATTCTTCTCTTTCTGGCTGGCTAGAAGGAGATGGCCCCAAGGTGACTTTCACAGCCACAGGGTGAAGATGGCTGAGCTTCTGTCAGCCTGGTTCCCTGAATGACTGCATGGAGGAGGGCAACCTCACTGAGTTACTGGGCCATGCAGTACTAGTACTGTTGTGTGGAGCAAGATGTAAAGTTCTATGCTTGAGCTATTATGCACATTGGGTCTGGTTTTTCAGTAGATAGGGGTTAACTTAACACAGTTTGAGGATGAGGAAATGAACTGTGAAGTAAAGTGAAAACTACCAGGTCAGGCAACCCAATCTGAACTGGAATCCTAGATTCACTATTAACTAACTCTGTGTCTATGGCTAGTCTCTTAACTTCTTATAGACTAAATTTTCACATCCATAAAATGGAGAAAATAATTAATTTTTTGTCTTCTTCCAGGGTTGTCACGAGCTCCCCAAACAATAAAGCACTTTACGACATAGGAGGCATTATTATTAAGCTGTTTTCAGTCCCTGATACCTGCATGTTGTAGGACCATGGTGCATGAAGGATTTTAAGGAGGCACTTTTGAAATGTGAAAGGGACATAGACTGTACATCTGGAGCACAAAGGCAGGTTTAACCAGCTTTGTCCTGCTCGGCGCCAGTTGGAAGAGAGCATCTGGCTTTGAAGTGTCTAAAGCCAGGCGTGACGCTGGATTCTACAGCTGGTATGTGTTTCCTTAGACTTTCTGAGGGAAAGAGAAAGGAGTGAGAAGGGAATGTGGAACTAATTCCCACATTAATTGAAGACAATAAGGAGACAGCAGAATACTTGCTTCAGTCATGAGGCCCCTGGAACAGAAGAACTATGTCACATACCAAAGGACAGCATAACCCACAATAAGCCCCCACCTCAAAACCCACAGACTATTACCCCATACTGTGGCATAAACTTGAGATGCATAATTGTATTAAGCCGGTGTCTTCTGTGACTTGTGCTTGACCCCTGCCTAACCTCCAGGTAAAGGAAAAGTGAGAGCCATGGCTCCATGACTAACTCCCTTCCCTCTGCCCTGTTGGATTCCCTGGCAATCTGCAGGAGTGTTCTGAGACAGAGGCTGCAGTGGTCTCTGGGCCACTCCAGAGGAATAGTGACCCTGAGTATGGTGTCAAGGTTGGATAAGGGGGCTTAGAGCACCTCACTAAAAGCCTTCCTTTCCTGTCTGATTGCATACAGCCAGGGCAAAGCTGGTGGGGTAGGGCTAAGGACCTTTCATACCTAAAAGACCTCTGTAGTTCATCTTGGTTACAACATATTTCTTCCACTTCCTTTCCTACCCCAAATGAAAATTCCACCTTCCTGGACTCATTCTCAGGAGCATTTATTTACATTTTATTTTAAGATAATTGTAGCTTGACATGTAATCGTGAGAGATAAAACAGAGAGACCCTGTGTACTCTTTGCCCCATTTTCTCCAATGGTAACATCTTGTATAACTATAGTACAGTATCACACACAGGAAATTGACATTGATATAATCTCTTGACCGCATAGAGATTTCACCAGTTTTATGTACATTCATTTTTGTGTGTGTGTGTGTGTGTGTGTGTGTGTGTGTGTGTACTTAGTTCTAGGAAATTTTATCAAAAGTGTAGACTTGTATGTCACCACTACTGTTAAGTTACAGAACAGTTTCATCACAAACATCCCTCCTGCTATTCCTTTGCAGTCACTGCCACGGCCTCCTTTCCTTTTCTCTCTACTCACCCCCAATCCCCACAGTCAGGTGCATTGAAAACCAGATTCATCTTAAAATACCTGAAATTAAATTAGTTGGTGAGGTTCTTTCTCCTACAGAACTATAAAGCTCAGCTATGAAGGCCCAGAAGCAAACATTGAAAGCATGTTCTGAAGGTGGCCCGAAGGCCTTGGTCTCTAACCTCCTATCTGTGATTTACTGTCTATTTCTTATTGGAAATGTTTCCTAACCTATTTGAGCCTCTGTTTTTTCATATCAAAAATAAGGATGTTAAATCCAATGACCTGTGATGTTTCATGAGATAATACCTGAAATGGCACTGTATATTCTAGATAACCAAACAGTGGATGCATTGTCACATATATTATTCATTTAATTCCTACTTCAATGTGGGATTGATATTGTTGACCTGTTTTGTCATAGAGAAACTGAGGTTCAGAGATGCCTCAATGTGCTCTTGATCAGGAACTTGGATGCCAGAAAATCTAATTTCAAAACCAAGTCTAATGAAGCTTAAAGTCTGTTCTCCTCTGCCCTTTTTATAAACACATTACTAATATTAATGAAAAGAGAAGAAAAAGTTAATGAGGACAAGTGTGTGCACGTTGACATGTACACATAGATACATAGGCACCAATCCATATCCAAAATGCCATTTCTATACCGAGTTCTTTCCTCCTATAGAGCCTGCAAATTAATCTCCCAACCATCACTTTTAAAAACTGCCTACCGTTGTTCTACATGTAGGTTTTATTATTGTTCAGGTATGGTAAGGCCAACAGATTAGAGGATGACTGCCATTTAAAAGACAGTTTGCTACTTACAGTTCCCAAGAGGACCAGGCACACTGTACCATGCCACAGGGTCACAGGGAGAAGCACCAGGGTCGGTCATTAGGCAGAGTGAGGGGACAATGTGGCAAGAGCCTTTATTGTGGTTTCTGTGGGAAAGGCAAGGCAAGCAAGCTTAGGATTGGTTAGTTTGAATAATTTCAGCAGGCTCTGGAGCATCGGAGTTGTCTGTAGTTGTCTGGTACCTGGCCCTGTGGTGATTAGAGCAGAGGAATAGTGACCCAGAGTGTGGAGGAGAGAGCGCCCTGGATAGGTTGGTTTGCATATGAAAGATGTACGTACAGATGAGTCATTTCTAGTAATTTGGGAGAAGCTGTCCCTTGCAGGTCAGCAAGTTCCCAAGATGTGAAAGCATCAAAAACACAGAAAATAAAAAGACATGATTAATATGACTCTCAGATTAGAGTTTTCCTACTTAGGAGGTAGAACTGCGTTCCAATACGTTCAGGTTTCCAATACATTCAACTGACCAACGAATGTTTGGTCAGTTAACCAAAAAACTGGAAGGAGCAGTTTGAGAAGCATCAAAGGCTTAAGCAACCTGTGCAAAATTTGGAAAGGCCAATCCAAGGTTTGATGAGCAGACTGGGACATAAAATTTATTGTCAAGAATTGTTAAGAAGAGACTACACTCAGAACCATTGCAGAGAAGGTGAAATCCATCTCAATTCTTCCTTTTCTGTGCCCATTATTCACTTCTCCATTCCTTCTCCTCAAGGGCCTTGCCCCTCTTTTTCTATCTTCCTCCTGCTCACACTCAGTTGCCCCAATTCCCTGCAGCAGTGCTGACTGCTCTGCCTCCGATCTCTCCAAGTCCCCTAGGCTCGAAAATTACCTCCCCTCCCCAGTTCTTGTCACCTAGTCAGGTTCCCACTGTCTCAGTACGGAACATGTTTTCTTTTCTTTTTTTCATAATACCAAATATTTTACCTTTAATGAAATAATCCTGCAAAATAAGTCTCCTATAAATGTATACAAATAGAGGGATTTTTGCTTTTATTTTAAGTTCAGAGGTACAAATGCAGGTTTGTTACACAGGTAAACTTGTGTCATGGGGCTTGGTGTACAGATTATTTCATCACCCAGGTACCATTAGTTATTTTTCCTGATCCTCTCCCTCCTCCCACCCTCCTCCCACCCTCCTCCCACCCTCCTCCCACCCTCCTCCCACCCTCCTCCCACCCTCCATCCTCTGAAAGACCCTAGTGTGTGTTGTTCCCCTTTGTGCATCCATGTGCAGAACAGGTTTTCTTAAATATTTTGAGAAGTTAGAATGCCAAGGAATGTGTGTGTGTATGTATGTATGTGTGTACTTGTGCTAGAATATCCAAGGAAGTTGTCTTTTTTAAAGCAAATTCTGTAGTCAGACCATGCAACAACATATTTGGAAAATCAACATGGAGTAAATTAATCAAGTATCATTGCAATGAGAAATTTGTGTAGTGTCTATTTTGAGTCACTAATATATTTATCAGTGCTTGGAAATGTCAGACCAAAAAGAGACTTTGATCCTTTGAGACGTCCTAGATTATTACGTCACCTAATAGTTATTAGTGGTTTTGATGAAGCCATGGTGCTATTAGGCAAAGGCTCCAAACAAGCTATACATAGTAGACAATTATCTCTATATGTGGATCTAAATATCTGGTATGAAGAGTAATACTCTAGACTTGTTGGTTGCTTTTTCTCTTTGATTTCATGAAAGATATGGCATTATTGAGAAATAGAAGAATTTTCACTTATATTTTTATTTTTGAAACAGGGTTTTGCTTTGTCACCCAGGCTGGAGTGCAGTGCCATGATGGAGCTCAGTGCAGCCTTCAATCCCTGGGCTCAAGGAATCCTCTCACCTCAGCCTCCCAAATAGCTAGGACTACAGGTACACACTACCACACCTAGCTAACTTTAAACTTTTTTTGTAGAGATGGGGCCTTGCTCTGTTGCCCAGGCTGGTCTTGAACTTGCTGCCTCAAAGGATTCCCCTGCATTGGACTCCCAAAGCGCTGGGAATACAGGCATGAGCCACCATGCCCAGCCTACCTCATTTGTTGATAGCACTGATTCCTAACAGGGTTATTTTCATTCCTGGCTTAAAAAAAATAACTTACCCTATTTGCACACTGGAATGGAAGTAATGCATTCAGTAATTTCAGAACCTGAGTGTTGGCTGACATCAAGCAACTGAGATACACTGCAGCTGCTGTTGGAGAAGGAGGCTGGAGGCTGACTCATGTTATGTTGGCTGGCAGGAGTTTGAGACCAGCCTGGGTGGCATAGCGATATCCCTGTCCTGTCTCTAGAAAACTAAAAACATTTTAAAAAATACTGGCTGGATTTTCTAGCCTGCCAGACTAATCTTCTTGAAAGATTTAGACATAAATAATTTATTTTAGCCTTTGTCATTATTACTGTTATGATAGTAAAATAATGAATCTTTTAAGTATTTTTTGAATGCTCAAGGTATATCTCTGAAAGAGTACCAACCAAATGCTGATATTAGGGATTAAATCCAGTTTTGAGAGAGACAGCAATTCATTCAAACTTGTTGCATGCAGGATCCTATGTCAAAGTGTATATGAGAGGGCACTCCGCTGGGTGGCGGCTGCTGTGGTTTGAATCATATGCCTTAGTATTGGTATTTGACAATAAGAGTTGTCAACCTGAATTTCTAGTTGGATGTATAGCCAAGAAAATAAGAAGTTCTGAGGGAGCGGGGAACTTTGAGGGGTGGAGTGGTCCCTCCATGTACCCCTATATTACAGATTGCAGGTTCATACTGAGGATTTTACCTTGAGCTTCTGGGCTCCACAGAACACTTGCGTGTTTCCATAAGGGCCTAGAAGAAGTGTCTTCTATTCCCATGGACACAATGCCAGAATGTGATTCCCTGGTTTTATTTTAAGCTCTTTCTTCCACCCAGAAACACAACCCACCACCCCTGAGAAAAGATGGGAAATAAGTGGATTAAACCAAACATTCAGAAGCTGCTCAATACATTTCCTTGTGCGCTAAAGAGGAGGTACAGTGCTGGGGTCAAGAAAGCAGGGAAGGAGTCAGGGCATGGGCACCCAAACCACTTATTGGCCATGTGTTCTGAGACAGGCTTCCTTCCTGGGCCCTGTCTAAAAACAATGGGCATAATGACAACACCTACCTTATATGGTTATTGAGAAGAAGAGGAGTTAACGTATGTAAAGGGCATGAACAGGTGTTCGGCTTATATATGGTAAGTGGTCAGTAAGTGTAGTTTTTCTCTCAAAGACAGTTCTCCAGGCAGAGCAAGTGAGGAGGCCTTTTTTCCACCCCTCAGCCGTTCAGAACTGGAAAGCAGTTGTATTTGCCCATGCATGGAGATACTTCAGCTTTCCCAGAACTGAGCCCATTTGCTAACACTACCTTTTCCCTAAGCTTCCCCTTGAGTACCCCTCTCTCCATCCAGCTGTGAAGCTCTGAAATGAACTAGATCCCCAAATGGCTGGTGGAAGCTGTTGGAATAGAGGTGTTAGAGGAGAAGGCAGAGAAATGTGACAGGAATCCAGCAGGATGTAGGAGTAGCCTGAATATGCAAGGGAAAACCTTGAGGTCTTGGCCAGTTTACTGTTTCTAGGGCTAAATGTACCACATCAAAGAAGGGAAAGGGAAGTTGTTCACCCAAGATCTTCAGTTTTCTTCCCCATGGCCTCATTATAGTGCCTTGTTTCTCTCTTGGGACTTCTGTTTTCTCTGCCTTGTATTGTCATTGTGTTCTTAATGTTAACATTTTTTCTACAATTGCAGTCTTAATGGAGAATATGTTAAAGAACATGTAGAGATACTAAGATCAGACAAATTTCTCCAATTTCCTTGTGCTTAAAAAATGTGTTAAGTGTTTACTATCTCTTCTTTCTATTGCCTTCGAAAGAGAAAGACACATTTGTTGGGCAAGGCATTGATGTGCTTCCAGGGGTAGTGGGGTGAGAAGTCTAGTGGAAGGAGGTAGTTTTGGTGGGTGAAGGAGGTAGTTTTGGTGGGCAAAGGAGGTGGAGTGAGAGAGAGGAAAGGTGAGGTAAGAAAGAGAACTTGCAAAAGTTGAAGCTTTTACAAAGCAGGGAGGAGATGAACTTGTATCAGCTGTGGTGATGTGGCTTTGGGCGAGATGCGGAAAGAGACGAGAAAAGAACTTCAAAGGAAGGTATTGTTATGCATTGGGTAGTGCGGGTCTCTCTTCACTTTGTCCTCCCTTTTAAAATGAAAAGGTCTTCATTAAAGATGCTCATTGCTCTTCAAGTCTTTGGAGTTGGGTTTGTGTTGTTTTGGAAATCTCGCCATGCTAAGTTGGGTAAGAAGAACTCACTTTATTTTGGAGAAGTTATAGGTCCCACTCAAGAAGCAAAACAAGGAAAGTTGAAGCTAAAAGGTGCCCCAAAATGTCAAGGATTGAGTGTGGCCACTTTACCCCCAGGTCTCAGCAGGTCTGAAGAAGCCATAGTTCTATCCAACAAATATTCACTGATGCCCTTGGAAGAGAGGTAACAGACAAGTATATTAAGGCTTAGACAAGGAAACTGGCAATTCTCACACAATGAGCACCAGACTGTGGGAGCCCAAAAGAGAGACATCATTTGCAGACTTGAGAAGGGGCCCAAACTACGTTCTGAAAAGTGAATAAGATGTAGGAAGATAAAGAAAGAAATGGATGGGATGGGTGAATGCACTGAGCTGGGGAGAGGGAAGTTTTTCTCAGGCCAGCTGCATCTTCTCTACTGGGCCTGGGGAGAAAGGTGTGCTGTGGGAGAGAGACTCCCTGGACCAAGGCCAGGCAAAACCATGGACTGGACTTGTCTTGTTCTCATGATGTGAACTAGATGCTGATGCTGTAGTGAAACTCTTCCACAATGATGTTCACAGACAAATTTCCCTGGACATCTGTGTCTTCATGGAGGCTAGGCTGATGGTCCTGAAGAGGAAACTCTGATTCCAGCACTGGTGGACTGTAAGGCTGAGTGAACAGCCCTCATTCAGCTTATGTGGGACTCCAAACCTCCATGAGGAACCTAATTTACTGGGAGTAGTGACGATACCCATAGAGAAAGGTGGTGGGAGTTACTGATTGGATGACATTAGGGACTTGGGCCTCAGAACAGGGGGACATTTTTCCATTTGCTCTGGGTCTTTTTCCAACTTAAAGTCAGCCAGATATGCCACCTCTTCTATTTGGCCCACACTTAACGACTTAGTTCTGACTGCTGCCTGCCTGTCCACACATCCTATGCCCAGGTTAGACCCACGCTTCTTAACTATCCTGGAGTCTGGACTACCAAAGAGAGAAGTAGCCCATCTACTTCCCCTGGTCTTCCCTTCATCATCTCTGTCTGCCCCCCAGCAACCCCAGGAAAATTGGGAATCTGCTTCCTAGGCTGATCTAGCATCAAACAGACATAGGAATTTTATGCCCCACCCCCAACCCCCGAATTAGCAAACTAATTTTTTTGTTTATTGCATTGTTTCTTATGCATCCCCCTCCCTCATCCACATGTACATGACCATGGAGACTTCATTTACTCAAGAAATAAATGACAGGAAACAAAGTAACATAGTGTGTTTTTAGCAGGAACAAAAGCCTCAATGTGAAGGCCTCAGAGTTGAATTTCTGGCTCTTACTAGTTGGTGGGAAGATTCTGTGGGGTATAGTGTCAGGAATTTTCCATTCCTAAAATCAAACCTGATAATTTGAACACCAGAAGAAAGTCTAGCATATAGTGAATGGTTGTGCTTTGAAATTCAGCAGAGAAATGGAATGGATATTTTGAGGGATTATAATGAGGAGAGAAGTGATTTATTTATTTTTTTAAAAAAGATGGACTAAACTAGAGCACTCATATATACCAGTGGGAATGACCCCATAGTGAGTAATAAGTAATGATACCAAAGAGGGGACAATTGCAGGGACAAAAGCCTGGATTAGCAAGAGGCACACACTGTCCTGAAAAAGTCCAGGAGCTGGCCTTTGATAGGAGGAGGATCAATTCTTTCACTGTGTCAGGAAGGAAGAAAGAATTAGGGTGGATGTTCTCGTGGCTTGGGAGATTCGATGGTGGGAAGACACAGGTGCTTCTGTCTGATTGATTCTAGTCTCTTGATGGCTTTTGGGTGACATCAAGTTCTGCTGAGTGTGGTGTTGGTGATGGGAGTATGCATTGGAGATTTGATGACAGAAGATGTAAAAGAACTCCAGGAAATGTAAAGTGGAAGTTACTAGGGAGTTGAGTGCTTATCGGGATTTTTATCATTACATTGAGGTTACCTGACATAATAATATGAGTGGGGTTTAAAACTAGAAATTCGGCTGGGCATGGTGGCTCATGCCTGTAATCTTAGCACTTTGCGGGGCCGAGGTGGGTGGATTGCCTAAGTTCAGGAGTTCGAGACTACCCTGGGCAACATGGTGAAACCCAGTCTCTACTAAAATACAAAAAATTAGCCGGGCATGGTGGTGAGCAACTGTAGTCCCTGTTATGCAGGAGGCTGAGGCATGAGAATTACTTGAATCCAGGAGGTGAAGATTGCAGTGAGCCAAGATTGTGCCACTGCACCCCAGCCTGGGCGACCCAAAAAAAAAGAAGAAGAAGAAACGTTCAGCTGTTGGGGAGAAGGTTCAGGGTTCAGAGTGTGTGGACATTTTGATTTGACAAGGGTTGGGGTTTTTCTAGGTGTGTGTAAAAAAGGGAGGGGGTGAATTTGTTAAAGATGTTTTCAATGGACTGACTGTCATTTTGGGTCAGGGACTTTAGGCTGGATAAAGTGGAAAGAGAAATAATGAGGGGGTAATAGAGAGTGAAATAGTGGTGGGTTTCATGCATAGAGGTTTCATTGAAGTTGAAGAATTGTTAGTGACTAGGAGTTTAATGGTAGGCTGAAGAATGACCTCCAAATAGATCCTGCTTTTGCATCTGGAATCTGTGAATGTTACCTTATATGGCAAAAGTGACTTTGCAATGTGAGGATGCTCAGAATCTTGAGATGGGGAGATTATCCCGGATTATCTGGGTGGACCCTAAATGTAATCACAAGTACCCAGCTGTGCAATGATGATGGTGAATGTGTGTGTATGTGTGAATGTGCTGTACAAGGTGGATGGCCAAGGGGGTGGGTTACTCTGAAGTGGACCTGAGTCAGTATCTAGACTCCAACAATTACTAGTAGTATAAATTTGTACAAATTGCTAACCTCAGCAAGCTTTGATTTTTCATCTATAAAGTTATGTTGATAATCCTGTTCACTTTATAAGGTATTATGAAGATTAGGTAAATTAATCTTTATAAAGCACACAATATAATCTCCAGCACAGAGTAAACATATTGTTATTGTTATTTTGTTATTATTTTGGAAGGAATTCTGCATTGCAAACACTGAGATGTAGCTTTTAAGTTAGCAAGTGCCTGTTTGTATTTAAGAAAAACAGCTCTGCAGTGTCTTCATAGTGAAAGAGAAATGCTGCACCTAATCAGGGAGTATTGATTAGAGGGTGTGCCCCAACCTCTGAGATGTCTCTGCAATCTGTTTATAAATGGACAGTGAAGCATGAAGTCATAAAATGTTTTATGGAATAACCCATGAAAACTTCAACACTTCTGTAATACTTATTAAGAATAATTTAAACCGTTCATATTTTATCAGAAAATACCAGTGCTTATGAGTTAATCAATTTCAAATTGATTTTATTTGTGTAAAATTGGCATTTTAGAAAGTGAATTTATTGCTCACATTTACGTCTTCCGATGTGAAATTATTGCAATACTGGTAATAAATGCACTCTGATTGAATCTATGTCATTAATCAAATATTCCCAAATTGAACTCCTAATAGTGTCTTATAAGATTAAGAAGACACAGAGGATGTTGGCTGCGTTTCAAGGTCTCAACTAAGGAGGAAGAAGAAATGGTGACTCTGAAGGACATTTACTGTTTTTTTTCTTTCTGGTCTTTCTTAACTGCTTCAAGCCTGTAACCCCCTCCTGTGTTTGAGAAATCTGCCACCTTATGAGTCTTGGTAGGAAGCAGGGTTCACCTCCTGCTAAAGAAGGTGGCAAGGTAGCAGTCCAAAAATGACAGATTCTTTCCTGGTTTCCCTTGCAGCTAGAGTGTGCATGTGAGCAAGGCTCAATCCCTCAGATAATCTCCATCCTCTGAATCGTTGCTAAATGAGGCAAACAGGTAGGCTCAGTGGAGAATTCATTCTGGCAGCAGACGCAATGGCAGAGGCAGAGGCAACTCTAAGTCTGGTGGCACGGGCTGTGCAAGGTGGCATCTAGCATTCTTCAGCTGCAGCAGGGGTGTTGCTTAATTTGCTTAAAATCAGTCATAAGTAGGATGATGAAACATCCTAGTTTGCCAGAGACAGTTCCAGTTTATACCTGTCATCTAGTGTAAGTTTTGATAGCATTCTCCTTTGCTTTCAAAATTTTCCAATTTGGAAAGTAAATGAGATGGTGTGTTTACTTTCACCATGGTCAGGATTCTCCAGAGAAATAGAACAAACACAAGATAGATAGATGATAGGTAGATAGATACATACATACACATACATAGAAATATACATAGATAGATATTTATTATGATGATTAGCTCACACAATTACAAAGGCTGAGAAGTCCAGCTATCTCCTGTCTATAAGCTGGAGATCCTGGAAAACAGCTGGTAGAGTTTCAGTTCAAGCCTGAAGGCCTGAGAACAGGAGAATGGATGCCATATATACCATTCATCCAACACTCCCTACTCCCTTTACTTGATTTATTTTTTCTTCATAGCACCTATTACCACATGATCTGTTTAGAATATGTAGTTAATTCTTATTATTCTTGTATCCCATATTTGTGAGTTTGCCTGCTTGCTAAAAGTTATTTGTAACTTCAACATCAGTACTGGAGTTACGTTTTTTTTTTTTTTTTTTTTTTTTTTGAGACGGAGTCTCGCTCTGTCTCCCAGGCTAGAGTGCAGTGGTGCGATCTCGGCTCACTGCAAGCTCCACCTCCCGGGTTCACGCCATTCTCCTGCCTCAGCCTCCCGAGTAGCTGGGACTACAGGTGCCCGCCACCACGACCGGCTAATATTTTGTATTTTTAGTAGAGACGGGATTTCACCGTGTTAGCCAGGATGGTCTCGATCTCCTGACCTCATGATCCACCCGCCTCGGCCTCCCCAAGTGCTGGGATTACAGGCGCGAGTACTGGAGTTACTTTTGTGGTCATTTGCAGGCATGCGCAGAGCAGCAAAATACGTGAGTCACCTGATGCACAGGTTCCCAGCTAGGGTTGAACAAGGTAATCATCTATTTTCTTGTAAACAGGTGTCCTTTTTGTGATATATTTAGTGCCATGTTTTTTTCCCCACATTTTTGTTGGTGATTTCTCTGTTTAAAATGGCCCCCAAGTGTAGTTCTGAAGTGCTGTCTGGAGTTTTATGTGCAGGAAGGCTGTATATGCCTTACATACAAAACATGGTGTTAAATATGCTGTAGTCAGACATAAGTTATATTGCTGTTGGACATGAGCTCAATGTTAATGAATCAATGGTGTATATATACATATTAGATAAGGTACCTTTAAACAAAAACACACATAAAACAAGCTTGTGTATTAATCAGTTGATGAAGATGTAATCAAGGGCTCACAGCAATCTAACTCCGTACTTTTCTTAAGAGCAATGGTTTAGTCTTCACTAATTCGATGTTTGTGGCAACTTTATAGAACATACTTATTGTGAATAAAGAGAGTTGACTGTATTTATTTATTTCTTTACAATTAGTCCTTTCTTAGCCAAACTCCAAGAGAATATATATATTGTCATCTTGTTTTCTGCTGTCTCCTTGGCATTTAGAACAATGTCTGGGACACAGCATTTAATAAATTTTTTTTACCTGGATAAATAAATGCACTTCAATGGTCTCAAAAATGAGCATATACTTATGTTTATGCATATTTATTTATAGAGTAAATAAAGACACTGTCAGTCTGTATATACAATATTAGAAAAGCTTAATTTTCATACTTTAGATAAAAATTAAATAAAAATATAATATCTATTTTTTTCTGTATCCCAGTATCTTATTTTTGTGTAACTGTGAAGAATATGTTCCTCATTTTTGAAGATCATTACACTTGACAGCTTCTAGACAATGCTGAAGGTTTTACATGAGATGGTTTTGGTTATATTGCATGGTATGACACTGGGAAGCTTTTACGTTAAGTTCTGCCCAGAATACTACATTTGGAAGGTGTCTTCGTTCCTTTGTGTTACTATAAAGAAGTACCTGAGACTGAGTAATTTATTTTAAAAAAGAGATTTATTTGGCTCACAGTTCTGCAGGATGTATAAGAAGCATGCGCCAGTATCTGCTTCTAGTGAGGGCTTCAGACTGCTTCCACTCATGGTGGAAGGTGAAAGGGAGACAGAGTGTGTGGAGATCATATAGCAAAAAAAGAGGCAAGAGTAGGGGGAGCTGCCAGGCTCTTTTGAACAACCAGCTCTTGTGGGAACTAAGAGAATAAGAATTCACTCATTACCACAAGGATGCCATCAAGCCAGTCATAAGGGCTCTACCCGCATGATCCAAATGCCTCCCATTAGACCCCATCTTCAACACTGGGGATCAGATTGCAACATGAGATTTGGAGGGTCAAATATCCCAATTACAGCAGAAGGAACTGTAGATTCTTGGTGGTCCACTCTCACAGACAAAGCATTACCTCTTCTATAACATCTGTCTCCTGCTTTCATCAATTTTTACTTCATAGCCACTTCCTTAATGTTTGGACAATTTTACCACTTAGAAATATTTTTCTTTTAATGAGTTGAAATCTGTCAACCTATATCTTCCAACGATAAGACCTAAATTTGTCCCTTGAATGCACAAATCAGTTTCCTTCCTCTGGCCTATGATGACTCCATATACATGTGTAGAGAGCTATATAGTTGCTTCCACGTCCTTGACTTTAAATTTTTCCAGTTATTTCAAGCACTATTTTCAAAGGCTTCCTTTTTTAAGGATTGTGTCTTGGCAGCTCAAAAGAGAGAAAGTCTTTAAACAAATTTTGTGGGAGCAAAATGACAATCTACAACAAATTGGCCAGTGAATACAGCTGAAAAACTTATAAAGAACAGATGTGTTCATTATGTACAATATTAATTTAAAAATTTTTAAAAATCTTCAAAAACAGCAACAACAACAACGGAATAGTTGGGTCTAATGTTCAGTTTTAGGTTGTTTTCTGTTCTATACTGGTAGTAATGACTTCTTCCACCCCATTATCTCCAAACACTCCACAGTTTCACAGTTTATTGTACAGTAGTCTTGCATTAAAGGTGCCTTTGGTAACACAGGAGAAGAGATTGGACTACAGAGAGATAGCAGCAGATACAGAGACAAAATAATTAGTATAGTGATAGAGAATTCAACAGGAAAAAAATTTACAGAGTATTAACAAGGGGATCACGAGCATACAGAAAATACAGAGAAATTTTAGGAAAGTCGCGTGGAAATTTGAACTACATCATTTGGATCCTAAAAGACAGGATATAGTAGATTGATTGCAAAAGTGGCCATAATGCTTTCCTTCCCTGTATGCACACCCTTTCAATGTGACATTGTAACTACTTCCATTGAGAAGCAATGTCTATTTCCCACCTCTTGGATCTGGGCAAATCTGGTGACTTGCTATCGCCAATAGAATGCTTCCACAGCAATGCATACCATTTGCACTGCTTCCATTATTACTTGTCTTACTTTCCTTTTACCTCAGTTTACCTGTCCTGTGTTTACATCTACCAAATATAGCATCAACACTTAATTTCTTATCTGTTTTGCTTCCCAGAGGATCTAGATTAAGGTGTAACAAAAAATTAAAAGGAGATAGTTCAAAATTCTACCAGTAATGTAAAAAACCCCAACAGGAATATCCAGTTATCCTCTAAAATCCCTAAATTATAAAAGGTAAGCCAAACCATCATTAATGATGTTTAATTGATGTTTAGTATAGTTTGAATTAAACTTAGGTCAGATGTCTCATAAAATAGAAATCTTTTTATTATGGGCTCCTTGTTTATTTGACAAAACTCAAGAAACCTTCTTTTATCCATTTGGTCATTACCTTATGTCTATTTTGTGAATCTTGGAATAAAATTTTACTATTTTAATGATTATGATTATGAGAATGCATAGATGTTAGAACTTTCACTTCTGTGGCATATATTGTTCTCCAATATTTATGTTAAATGAAACTATCCACCTTTGACCATTAAAATATAATTCCATGGGACAACAGTATCCATTAAGATATATTTTATCATGCCTTTAAGATATGTGTAGAGTAAGAATAGATTTTACCTATAGTGGTAGAAAAATGAAGAATGCAACTGCTATTATAAAAGTATTGTCTTCTTTTTGTATATAATTTTTTCTTTTAGTTCTTGGCATCATAATTTTTTAATGGATAGAGAAAAAAATCCATCAACTGTTTACCCCTACCGATTCTTATTCTATCAATAAAATAGCAAACATACCTTCTTTTTCCAAAGAATTCTGTATTTCCCATGTGGTGTCGTAGAGGGAATGCAGCCCTTCTCTGATGGTGAATGTTTAGGAAGGGCTGGAGAAATCCTCTGAGACAGTGGGGACCCCAGGGGCCTTGAGGAGGGGTTGAGCAATAGGTCTGTGCTAGGGAAGGAAGGGGAGCAGTGGACACATGCTTGTGCAAGGTGAAGGACAAGAGAGAAAGGAGGGAGAATTGAAGAAGAGGGAAAAACAATAAACAGCAAAAACAGAGAAAGAGAGAGACAACTATGGAGGAAAGAATCCCAGTCTTAGCTCTCTCATGAGCTGTAAGCAGCCTTAAAACATCACTGGTCGTGTTTCCATACTGAGGAAAGTAAAATCATTTTATCCTCATTTTATTGGTGGTAAAACAAATGCCTTTTTGATAAAGTGACACATGGCTTCTCCTGCCCCCTAATTTTTTTTTGCTATGCTTTCTTCTTTAACATAGAAAGGAAGAAATGATACCTATATCTCTATTTATCTATATCTATATATCTATATCTATATCTATATCTATAGAGAGAGTGTCTGTGAGGGCACATTCAAGGGATAGCTATCTAGGAATCTTAGTATTTATTCTCTGAGGCTTTAACTGTAAAATCAATTCAAATCAACAGATATTTATTTAGAATCTATAAAATACAAATTTATTTAGTAAGGAGTTAGGAGGTTATAAAGTAATGAAAGTACATATCTCAAGCCCTAGATTATCCAGAGAAGTCCTGATGTAAAACATTTTACTCACTATCTCCATAACTGCATCTGTCCCTGTCAGCCTAAGTAATCAGTTTTGGTTTAAAAAATAGTTAAAATCACATAAGACACCACCTCTGTCTTTGAATTCATCTGGGGAACATCATACATGAAGTGCTAAAGGACAGAAGAAGTAATCTGAGGTGGCAGCCCCACGTGGATGGGTGGGATTGGAGAGTGGAACATGCTGGTTCTCCTGGAGTGGCAGAGTCTCTCCTTTCCAGCCCTGAGTGTGGCCAGTGCTGAGCAGTGGGTGGTTTTGGTTGCAGCCCTGTGGTTTGGCTAAAACAATTCTGTAGTGTAGGTAGGCATTCACCATTGTTAGAAGCTACTGCTTGTCTTCCAAGATGGTTCCAACATTTTACACTCCCCCTGGCAATGTTAGAGAACTCCGCTTACCCTACATACTCACTAACTCTCATACTGCCATTTTAAAAACATTTTTAGCCATTCTGGTGGGTTTGTAGTAGTATCTTACTGTGGTTTTAATTTTCATTTCTCAGATGGGCAATTACCTTGAAAAATTTTCTGTGGCCTTATTGGCAATTTGCATATCTTCTTTTATAAACTGCCTGTTTAAATATATCACCTACTTTTATTGAGTTACTTGTCTCATTATTATTGATTTGTAAAAATTCTCTGTATATTATGAATACAAATCTTTTGTCACATATACGCCAGCCATACTTTTGGATGCAAAAAATAGAACTTGACTAGTGGTGACTTCAATGACAATATCAATTCTTTGATATAACAAAAACTCTAGAGCCATGCAGCCCTTGGCTAACTAAGCAGATCTGCCATCCTTAGCAGTTTGGCTTTTCATGCTTAGCTTGTGACCTCATGTTGCAAGATGGCTGTGATTGCTTCAAGCATTATGACTGTGATTGCTTCAAGCACTACGCCTGAATTCAAAGGCAGGAAGAGTGAGGGCAACAAGCAGGCAATATGAAGAGGTCCTTGAGTGATCACTCCTTCTTTCAGTGGAGATAAAAATTATTTCTCGGAAGCACTCTCAAACTTCCTCTTAATTCTTATTGGCCAGAATTAGGTATTCTGCACACACACATACCAGCAATAGGGAGCCTGGGAAATAAGCACTGGCAATGGTTTTCTGTACTGTAGCCATGATTAGATCAGACAATTATAATTCATGCCCCGGAGCTGGGATACTGCAGGAACCCAGGTGCTATTAGCTAGAAGAGAGGAATGCTTGTTGGGTAGGTACAACCTAACATGTAAATATTAAATGCCAAAAGCTATGTGTTACTCTCCAATGCAGTGAGAGATCCTTTAAAAAATATGTAAGCCCCTGGTGGGCTTATGGACAACTTAAAAGTTAGGAAACCAAGTTCTTCATTTAAATCCATAAAACAATGCCACCATCCCAAACTCCCATTAAATAGCTGATTGTAGAGAAGCCCTGCTGGCTTGAACAGCTACATCAAGTTGTTAGTTCTGATTACATGTTATTGCTGCAATAGGAAGGCAGAATTAATAACTACATTTTCTAAGGGACAAGGCCAAGTGACTCCAGTAGAAGAGTTGAAGGCAAATGGAGGTTAAGAGCCATTTGCTGGGTTTCCCTGAAAGTAGAGCCTGAGCCAAGGGCATTTTAGGTAGTTTATTTGGGAAGTGATCCCAGGAAACAGCAGTAAAGGGCTGGGGAGAGTGAAACAGAGGCAAGGAAGGCATTGCAAAAACACACTAAGAGTCGGCCATCTTTGTGGGTGACTATAGCTTAATTGTGCTGGGAGCCTCAGGACCTGCACAGAATACATGGCAAAATTTGATGCCCCAAAGTTCTACAAATGTAGATCAGCTTTGTTGGCATCACCTTGACTGTGATATACCTGCAAATTCATGGGCATCATCCTGACATCCTGAATCCAAAATGTGGTGGAAGTGGGGAGGGGGTGGGTCAGTATATTGTATTTCAACAAGCTCATCAGGTGAGTCTTGTGCATGTTCACATTTGAGAATCACCAGTCTACTCCCCAGAGAGAGTGTTGATTAATTAGCTCATGTGCCCACTGGTCATACCGTGGGGGGTTAAGTCCCTTCTACTTTCAGGTTGCTCATGCATTACTGTATCCCTTACCTCTCATCAGAGAAGCCCCCAGAAGAAAATAAGAGATTTCAGTGCAGCTTAGGCATGGCCCCTCAAGGTACACCCACAGGGTGCTGGTTTCTACAGTGGCAGCTGGAGTAAAAGGTGGGTCAGAAGAGTGTTGCATGAGAGATATCTGACTCAGGAGAGGAGAACCAGATTTGGCCAGCTTAGATCATGACAGCTCCTTCAATTATCCGAACTTCATGGAAGGAGTCAGGAAATCACTTTTTAATGCATTAAGCTCTTTATAAAAGGCCCTAAGCTCCTAGGAGAAAACACACTATGTAATTGCACAGGACTTCAGTGTACAGAAAACATTAACAAGACACATGAGAAACAGTACCTGTTTATGCTGTGGTATATCCTTGAGGCAGGTGGAATGTTTCCATCTGTTGAAGTAGCCTCTGTGATATTTCCCTGTTGGGATCAGGTTAAAGAGAACAGATTTCTCACTTTATTGGGAAAAAAGCTTCTCAACAGCAGGTATTTATTTGCCCTCCCTCAATTTCTTTGGGAATTTAAAGCTGTGCAGTTTACCTTCTTTATTTCTTTCATATTGCCCCAAGAACACTTGATTCTCTGCCAGCCATTTGCTTTTGTTCCAGTTTTTTCCTTTCTGCTTTGACCTTAAAAAAGTCACTATGGTCATAATTTTATTTGAATCATTTGAAAAAAGGAAGAAAATTTTACCATAAGACTAGAGTTAATATGGGCTGGTGGGGCAGGGATGATGAACTCAGTTGTCAGGTGGAGAGACTCACCCTATAAGTCCTCTGTAAGTGATGTTTGATTCAACACATGGAATTTCAGATTTTTATTCAGAATTATTGTTAGGCTGAAGAGGCAATAAAATGAGTTGCAAAGATTAAGACAGTAAACATATTTGCAGGCTTTCTCTATTGTGGATGGGAGGTACATTAAAACTCAATTACAAGATTTCAGCCATTGCAATATGGATCTTAAGAGTCCATGTGAATAGAGGTTTCCCTGGGGAAAGATGGCCAATCTTTTCCTTATTTTCCCCATCTTAGTTCTTCCATTCCAGTGCACAAGTCCTAAACACCAACTGTGTCTGGTGATGATGCTTAGTGGATACCTGTCACTGGGGCCTGAAAGTGCCCACTGTACTGGTCCCCTGGCATGGACTGACTTAGTGCCTGAGAAACTACCACCACCACACACTCTCTTAATTATAACTCAAGGAACTTCATATTCTTAGGTTTTATTTTTAGTGTCCTTTTTAGATGTTTTGACATTGGCATTGGTGCATATTTAAGCCTCATTGTAATTCTTTATTTTGGTCCAGAGTCTTGTACTGATTCTAATGATCTTCTCCTGCTGCCTGGCTCTGGCTCTAGAAATTTTTGCTTGTCTCTGTCACCTTCAGTTTATGCTTATGGGGGAGCCAGAATTAAAATATGATTGTTTTGTCATCAAACAGATATTTATTGCGTGCTTACTATGCTCCAAGCATCATATTAGATGTTAAAATATAAAAATGAACAAAACATAGTTGCAGTTTTGATGCAGGATTTTTCTTGGCCACTTTGCCAGCCAGGGACCTCCAGCCAGAGGTGCCCCTGCCTAGGCCTCCCTAAGCCCTGGGCCTGACTCAGGAGGTGGCCTGCCCACCAGGCCCACCAGGCTGCATCTGGCTTGTGTGCCAGCTCAGCCCATGGCTGAGCTGGGAGTGACCAGCCCACCTGTGTTATAGCTTATACCTGTATTCAGTGGTTCTGGCGTTCTTGTCCCATGTCCAAGAAGAATGAGGTTATGCTGACAATTCAAAGGGTGAGAAGGGCACAGAAGAATTTTACTGAGCAATGGAACAGCTCTCAGTTGAGAGGGGATGTGGGAGTGGTACCCCACCTCTGCAGTGAGGTGGTTTATCTCTCAGTGTGGCTGGGTCCAGGGCTTTTATGGGCTCAGAGTGGGGAGTATGTGCTGATTGGTGTGTGAGTGTGCAAAAAGGCTAAAGAAAAGGCATCACTCAAAGGTGGGCATGACAGTGTAAAAAAAAATTTAGGGAAGGTTAAGTTTATGCAAAATAAGTAGAGGGTGGGGATCAATCACAGGAAATCATGCCAAAGAGGAAGGCAGTTTCTCAATCTAGTCTGTAGATTTATCCAGGTCTGTCTTCAGCTTGAAGATAGGGCTTCACAAGGGGACCTGCCCCTGTCTGCCTAGGCATTTGTCTGCCTCCTGTTGCTATCACTTTTAGAAAAATTAGAATGTAGGAAATAAAGATCTGAGCATCAGTTACCATCACAGACCATTGAAAGTTATACAAGGGAGGAAACAACATGGTGCTTTTGGTGCACAGAAAGGTGTCCATTCTTCTTGGAAGAGGAGAGGGAGGACTTGTCAAAAGTTCACAGTGAAGGTAAAAATTGAGCTGGGCTTTGAAGGATGAGTAGGAGTTTGTTGCTTGAACTACAAGGGTAATTTTTCAAGGAAGGCAGATCAAGTGCATAACATCTTTGGGTGATGCAGAAGAGTCCAGCAGTGTTGCAGTATATTGTGCTTTAGGAGGAATTGAAGGCAGGGAGACCTGCAGGGCAAGTCAGTGGACAAGGTCTGAATCTCTTCCTCCAGTAATTAAGAGGTCCGGAGTAACTGGGGGGAGTGGTTGAAAGACCTAAGTCATAGAATTTTGAGGAGTGAGAGAGGTAGAAAAAGTAGACAGAGTAAATATAACTTACACTTTTACATATTTTGACAGAATGGAAGAAAAATGGATGGTTGTATTTAGGGAGAATATCCAAAAGAGTTCCCCCACCTCTTTTTTGATGGAAGAAGAATTTAATAGAAAGGGAATATTTGAAAGGAAAGGAACTAATTCAGTGCATGAGTTCCAGAAGATGAGGAAGAAAACTGGATTGAGATTAAGGGTGAGTCTTAGAAAGGATTAGGAAATACTTCTCCGTGTAGACATTGAAGAAAGGAAGAAGAAGTTTTGGATAAATGTACTTATGCTTCTGGAGGGGAGGATGGAATAAAATCAAGGGAGTTCATGCCTGGTTACTTCTATGTTATTTGAAAAGCAGGAATCAAAGATGTTTGGGGCGAGAGTGGTGGAGGAGAGTGTTAGCATTTTAGATCTGCTGCTGTCACATAGAGGAATGAGATCTGCATAAGGGAAAGCATACATTTAAAAATTCTAGAGCCTTCACGTTTTAAGTGTGAGAGAGGAAATCTTCATATGAATAAGGGGGCTGGATGAAAGAAACTTGGCCGTTTTTCCTGAGTTTCAACTTCCCTGTGGGATGTGTGTCCATCGATCCCTGCCTCCCATGTCTGGCTGGCCTCTAGGAAGGGGCCAGCACCACTAGAGTTGTCGTCAGATCAGGGATAAATCTTATTCTCCAAACTCCCTTGATCACAACTGAGGCAAGTCAGGGTTTTCAAAATGAATGGATCATTCATTTACAAGTGAGATCCATTTTAGAATGGATCATTCATTTACAAGTGAGACATAAACAGAGACATACAGGAAAATATTAGAAACAAGAACAGGTTGCAAAATTTAGGTTTCTGAAATTACCTTTTTCTAGGTCATTCCCAGGCTCACAGGCTCTTTCACCTTCCAGAGCTTATCCTGGAAAACGAATTTGCTGTAGTCTAGCCTCCAAGACTGACTTCCTCCCTAGCTCCAGCTTGCCTCTATGGATTCATGGTTTCATAGAATGGTCCACTGTGCAGGCCCTGTTGCCTGGACTCCCCACAGTCAAGGTGGCAGAGAGACTCACTCTCTGCTTCCATCTCTTCCCATCTTCCACTGGGAAGTTTTCTCTTTAAGAAGAAGTCCCATTTCCCTGCTTGCTGGCAAACCTGTTGAGACTGAATGCAATGAATGAGATCAACATTCTGAGCCACTTTATAGACACAAGGAATCACTTGGAACTTAGTAGAGGCCCAGTGGTATAATGCTATAATAAAAATATTACCCAAATACCAAGAGCTGCGGTGAAAAGATTTTACCTGGAAATCCAAACATTGCAATTTTTATACAATGAAATTATTCTAAAAGGCTTTATAAATAAATTCTCTACTTTAAATCATACCACTTTAATAATCCAAGATTAGTTTTTTAGTTTACGTCCCCCAAGGTTGTGACTGATCAGTCTATGCTTTCATGGTTGTTCCATCTGACAGATATGTTTTGACAGGAAAATTCTCTTTTTGAATAATAACTGTAAAAATATAAACTATTTTTCTTATTCCTAAATCCTACACAGTAAGTAAACTACAGAACTCGACTGAAACTCAGCTTTGTTTGGCTTCAAGTTTGGTTTACAGTTAAGTTAAGTTAAATAAGAAGTGCTTCTACCAGAGACCACGGTCCACTGCCAGCAGCAATAATTGACAAACATCCCAGCCGCTTTGGGAAGGTTTAGTGTATTGTCTCAAACATGGCTCCCAGTGCATCATTCAGACTCATCAAAACAGTGAAGTCCTTGTACTCATGGAGTTGATGTTCAAGTGATGATGACTGGGGTCCCTGGGCTTATTCAGGATTTGCAGTCAGCTTCCTGTCCCATTCATTTCCTGACCAACCACGGCCAGGACTTACTGTATCTGGGAAGTCAAGTCAGGTTCCAGAGATTACAGACTGGGATGTGAGAGGAACAGGGCTAAGCCTCTTTTGGTTAAAGATTACGATAAATGCTTAAGGCCTAAGAGCAGATTGGAGGGATGGAGCTGATGATGGGATAGAAAACTGGCACTTTGCTGAGCCTGGACCAGGAAGCTCTTCTCCTGTGGTGCAGAAAGAGAAATTACTGTGGTCTCAGTTAGTAGTGGGATTTTACAATAACTTTTATGTAAGCAGAAAAATTACTTGTGTACCATTTTTATTTTATTTCTTGGAAAGCACAACATTCTAATTTTAACCATCGTTTGCATCAATTTTGTGAGTCTCCATAATTTTCTGTTTACAAATGTGCAGATCCTTTTAAAAATATTCACTAACAGAAATAATCTTACCTGATTTTTTTAGTATCATGGTTTTAACTGTTTAAACAGTTCAGGCAAATTTTAAACCCTGAAAGTTTAGTTCTGAGGAAAAATTGAACACACTAGTAATCAAGAAAAAAAAAAGAAGAGGAAGAAAAAGAGGCAGCAACATGACAAATACAAGATCAGTAATATGGGTCCTGCTGCTAGGGTGTTTTTGTTTTAAGGACATGTCTCACTCTGTTGCCCAGGATGGAGTGCAGTGGCATGATCACGACTCACTGCAGCCTCGACCTCCTGGGCTCAAGCAATCCTCCTACCTCAGCCTCCCGAGCCCCTCGGACTATGGGTGTGCACCACCACACCTGGCTAATTTTTGAAAAATATTTTGTAGAGGCAGGATCTCACTCTGTTGCTCAGACTGATCTCGAACTCCGGGGCTCAAGCAATCCTCCTGCCTCAGCCTCCCAAAGTGCTGAGATCACAGATGTAAGCCACCATGCCCAGTCTATGTTTTCACTCTCTGACTCTGAGGAGATGGCACTTATGGAGAAAAAAAAAAAAATTCTGGGCTCTAAGTCTCTGTTGGTTATACCTTTTAGCTTTCATTAACTGATTATGTAACCAATTTATCTGAATTTCAGCTTCTTTATTTGTGAAATGATGGAGCTGAACCATATGACCACAGAACCCTTTCTCTTTTCACATACAAGAAATTTGGATAATTCCTCTTTGGGCCTGAAATAACAACATAAACTTTGACAAGTATTTATGTTTAATTAAAAAAAAAACTTAGTTATGTTTAATTCCTCAATTTAACTTTGGTTGACTAAAACCTCTTAGCTTTGGATTTCCTAGGGCTCGTGAATAGTACCTGATAACAAATCTGTGTAAATGAAGGTGAAACTATGCTGTCATTAGTGGCCTAAGGCTTCCTTAAGCAAGTCAGACAGTCCGGGGAGCAAACTGCTCTATACCAGACTGGCTCTCATGTTAGGTATCAACTCCTAGAAGTCACCTCCTGTGACAGAGGGCCAGATACCTGCCACTATTTCTTAATCATTGACTTAACCTATAAAGACACTGGAATGGAACCAGAGCATTTCTTTCCAGAGGAGAAGCACTGGCTGGAAAATTAATCAGCAGATTTGCTTTGTGACATGCACCCCTCCCACAGGGGAATACAGTGCAAAATACTCTTCCATATTACCATTCCCGATGCCAAAAGCCAGGTAGCCTTCCTTTATGAGTGTGGCCCAAGGATTACTTAGTGGAGAGAGACCCTGACTGTAAGTCCCATCAGGTTCTTGGCCTAATTGATGGATTAACTTGAAAATCTCCCTTCTCATGCCTGTTCTCCAACGTTTTTTTTCCCACCAACTAAATGAGGAAGTTGGGCTATTTCAACATTTTCCTAAGTAGATCAACATCTTCCAAAGAGTGTTACACTTGAAGAGTTAAATAAAATAAATCTAATGAAAAAGCGTTCCGTGGTGAAATGTTTTGGAAATAGTGCATCAAACAATGTAAACAGCTTTATTACTACAGAACTTCTTGTGGCTTCTACTGTGCAGATGTGATTTTGACTCTCATAAGGGAGTTAAAATGAACCTTTCCCAAAATTTATTTGAAAATGATTTTTATTGTTAGTGAGGGAGTATTGTGTGACAGAAACTGGGGTTCATCAAGGTTGTTTCAGCATTATGAATCCAGGAGTAAAAGGTGATGCAGTAATCATTTTAGAAGGGGGGTTGAAACATCTATCAAACCCTAATATCCTTCAAGGTCCCTGTGAAGATCCACATCCTCTGGGGAGCCACTCTGTATTTCACTGTTTTCCAACAGGAACCTTCTTCTCGACTCAATGAAGAGTTCATTGTCTATGGCCAAATGAAAAGGGAATTATCCGAGTACTTTTGAATAATTTGGTGCAGTTTTTCTTTGGCTTCTATTGACTCCCCAAGCTTCATATAATGATGTTTTTTATTCTCAATTTTCTGAAGTACAGCTGTATGAAAAAGTCAATACATAAAAATCCAAACATATAAGGCATAATAATGAAAGGAGAACTATTCATATCACAGAGAACTCTTCACTTTACAAAATGATTCCTTCCAGGGTTTATTTTAAAGAGAAAGGGAGTTGGAGACACTGAAGGAAATTCATTGATTGTACTTTTTTTTTGGGTCTAAGTTCTGCAGGAACTAGCCTTTTAGTAACTTTAGGCTTTAAAAGTATTTTCTTACATGCCTGTTTAGCCTCCTGTTAAGATTGAGGCCCTACTGAAAGCCAGTGGTTGATTCAGCATATGGAGGCTTAGAGATGGCATACCTCTATCCTCACACTGCCTCTGGCCTGCTCTTTGGCTCCCTGCTGAGCAAAGAGGACTTTCCCACTAGCAGAGATCACTGTTTGAAGGCAGCCAGACTCTCCTAGAACTTCATTATTCATTTTCCCAGGGTTGCTTGCAGCTTGGAGACTTATTTATTTTTCAGATATTATTATACTTAATTAAAAACCTTGGGAAATAAATTTTTTTTTGGCCATGCATCTGAAACATATGTTCTATTTTGCCAGCTGTCCAAGTGGCTAAGACTTTCTATCCCCTAGTTGGGAAAACTACTTTAGACAGCTACAATGAATCAAGATGTACACAAACTTGATTTTAAAGGTGTTTCCTGCCTTGTTAACCCAATCATTATAAGACAAAGGAACAGTTGGATCGTTGCTATGTTGGCAAAACGCATTAGCTTTCTTGTAAGGGTGATTTGCCACTTCAGGGATAATTAGGCCACTTAAACGCTTATCTTAGTCAATGGACTGGGAAGTCTTTATCCTTATCATGAGTGATGTGGTTCAAAGAAAATCTCAGTTCTAAATGGAGAGGCTGTTTCAGCACAAGTAGTACCTACTAGGTTGCTGGACATTTTAATCTTTAGAATTTACCAACAGCCTGGTTTATGTAGCGCCAAGACTTATCTCTAAAATATTTCTTCCTTCTCTAATTAAGTAGAATTTTCTATCATTGGTTACTCTTTTGTGTGTGTGTGTGGCAGGGGATGGGGAGGTTAAGCAATGATGTTTTGTAAATTCATAAATTTAGGGGAGGAGTAATCAATTGAAACACAAAATCCTGAAAAAAAAAATGTCCTTTCCCCGGTTCTCTTCTGCTGCTTGTTTGAGAAAAGGGAATGTAGCATTGAGTAAGGGGTGGAGAAGGGACCAAGACATCCCTGCATCCCACCCACTTACCCCTGTAGCTCAGACTTGCGGTGAGATGCAGGTGACAGGAGATGGGTGTGCTTGGCTAATTTCTCCTATGACTGTGAAACATTATTACAGTCCCAGGGAGTAGGGGAGTCCCATCCTGGCCCTGGCTCTGTGATCATGAGGCTAGCTCAACTTCTCCATTTTCTCACGGTAAAGTATTCCCATATCCCTTCCTTTCTTGGGTTACATGTGTCAATGAAGAGTCAAACTTTGTAAAACATTTAAAGAAATTTATTCTGAGCCAAATATAAATGACCATAACCCCTGACACAGCCCTCAGGAGGTCCTGAGAACATGTGCCCATGGTGGTTGAGGCACAGCTTTGTTTTATACGTTTTAGAGAGGCATGAGGCATAAATCAAATATATTTAAGAAATGCATTGGTTTGGTTCAGAAAGGCAGGACAACTCAAAGAGTGGGGGCAAAGGGGGGCTTCCAGGCTATAGGTAAATTTAAACATTTTCTGATTGACAATTGGTTGAGTTTGTCTAAAGATCTGGGATCAATAGAAAATAAATGTTCAGGTTAGGATAAAAGACTGTGGAGACCAAGGTTATTTTGATGTCTTATAGTGGCCGACCTTAGAGACAATAGATGACAAATGTTTCCAATTCAGACCTTTAAAAAGATGCTAGATGCTGACTGAATCTCTTCAGGATTGGTAGGGCCTGGAAGAAAAAGATCTAACTATGTAATTAGAGCTTCTTTACAGATTCACATTTTCCCACAAAGGACAGCTTGGCGGGGCCATTTCAAGATCTGGCAAATAAACAAGTTTTGGGGTAAAATATTTTGATTTTCTTGCTTGTCTCATAATGTTATGCCAGATTCAGGGTGGAAAGAAAGTCACAATATATAGGGCTAAATAAAACCTGTCTGACAAGAATTTATGGTTTGTAGGGCATGACTCCCCAGACCTTTTAGATAGGAATTTGGGCAAGATTAAAAAAAAATTGGAGCTTAGTCCTCACACAGAATGTTGTAAATATATGTTTAAAAAATATATTTATACAATACTTTTATAAAAACATGTATTGTAAATAAAGCTGGCATTCTACCGAGACTGTATATTTGAAAAGTATAGATTATGATGATTAATGGACAAGGAGCATGAATTTTTCTTTGCTTCTTTTATATTCTGTTTGATGTACATGGAAGGAACACAGGTATCAGAATTGGACCCATCTGGTTTTGAATTCTGACTTTGCTAATTACAGAACTCAGTTTCCTCACCTATAAAACAGAGATAGTGATATCTCTTTCATGGGGTTATTATGAAAACTTGGGAAATTCTATTGCTTTGAATTGCATTCTCCGGATTTGTGACAAGCAACCTTTTCCTAATATCTTTTCCCCCACTTTGGGTCAGTGGGAGGATCTGTGGTGCTGGTGATGTTTTATATCTTGATCTGAGAGGGGGTTACATGTGGAGAATTTATTTTATGAAAAATTATTGAGCTGTACATTTAAGGTCTCTGCCTATATGTTATTTGTAGTAAACGGTTTGCTAGATAAATACCATTTTTATTTAAAAAATTCAATGCTGGATGGCTAGAAAGTTTCTGTAGGCCATAATTAAAAGACACGTCATTATTCCAGAAATCCTAAAATGTAGACAAAAGAAGAATACAACTTACAATTCAGCACTCATGTATTCATGCATTCATGTATTGTTTTCATTGTGATATAACTGATAAACAAAATGTATAGAGTTTAAATGTACAATTCAATAAGTTTTGATACCTATATACATTCATGAAATTAGAGCCCCAATCAAGATATAGACCATTTCTATCACTGCTTCAAGTTTCCTTGTGTTTCTTTCCAGTCAATGGCCTACCTAGAGGAAACCAATTGTTCTTTATGTCCCATTGAATTAGTAGCGCTTGTCCTTGAACATCTTAAATAGAATAATACAGCATATATATGCTTGTATTTGTCTTCCTTCACTTGTCATAATGTTTTTGATACTCATTCAAGTGTTGAATGTACTAATAGTTAATCTTTTATTTTATTAATATACCACATTTATGTATCTATTTCCCTATTATTGAATATTTGGGTTGTTTCTAGTTTGGGGTTATTATGAAGAAAACTGTTCAACATTCCTGCACAAGTCTTTCTTGAAATGTGACTTGTCTAAGAAATCTTTGCTTAACTTCAGGTGATAAAGATAATTTCCTGCATTTTCTTTTAGAAGCTTTATCTTTTTCTTTTATGTTTATGTCTATGATCTATCAAATTAATTTTTGTGCATACTGTGAGGTAGGGATCAAAGTTCATTTTTTTCCAGCTGCATTTGTTGAATGAAACCTTTTCTTTCCTCATTGTATTACCTTGCCTCACCTATTGACTGTCAACCAGCTGTAAGTGTGTAGGTCTATGTCTGGGCTTTCTATTCTGTTTTGTTGATCTCCTTACTTACTCTTATGCCAATAATACATGGCCTTGATTACTGTAGTTTTAGTGTAAGTCTCATTATGTAGTGAATATCTATGTATGTATGTATGTATCTCTCTATCTATCTTTAGGTAATGCTAATGCATTTGTAAACCTCTCTACAATGGAGATGAACTGCATCTAGTGTCCTAGGTGGTAACTTAATTTTATGTTTGATGAGAAAGAATCACTCATATTTCAAAAATCTTCTAGGGTAATGTACCTTAAAATACAGAAGTGTGTATGAAACTCAATAAAAAAGGTAATGCTGTTTATTAGATGAATTTCTAATGGCTTTGTTGACATTTCTATCCGTACTAGGAAGGCAGTTCTGAGTGGTAACTCTGACCATATCAAGTAGTGGCTTTGGGTATAGAGTAATTGGTGACTATGTTTTTATTTATTTACATTTTGGTCCCCAGTGGAACTTATAGCAGATTTGGTTGCCTTCCCAAATATCTGTCTTTCCCTCTTTTCTTCTTTGCTGTTTTTTATACTTCATTTTCTTCTTTTCTTCTGTACATTTTTTTTCAAAGAAAGTTATGCTACAGTCTCAACCCAAGGTAAATACAACTAGCCTTAAGGTAATTAGGTGGTCTAATTTCCCTTTTGTCAGTGATTGGTTGAGATATGGGAAAGTGATGCATTTCTAGCCAATGAGAGGTGATGGAGAAGCAGCTTTGGGATTCCTGTGAAAGAATTTCCAGGTGACAAAAAGAAAACTGGAGGTTGGGGGCAAAGTAGTAATTTATATGCTGCTTCTGTGGCTTCTGGATGTTGTCATGTCAGACTGTGCTGCCTAGAACTGTTGTAGGCATCTTATGATCATGAGGTCTACAGGATAACTTGCTGAATTAAACACAATAGAGAGAAGAAAGAAATCTGAGTCCTCAAAGAAATGGATGGAGCTAAAAATCATGTCCTAATCTGTCTCCAATCTTCCAGTTATGGGAGTTAATACATTTTGTTCATTGTTTAAATCATCTGAGTTGGGTTTTCTCTTATTGTTTCCCAAAGCATGGTATCTGATAAAACCATATTGCATTTTAGCAGCTCTTTGGTGAGCTAAGAACTCATACTGAAAATGTTAAATGAACAAACCATTAGTTTAAGAACTAAAGTATGAGGAAAAGCATAATTTATGGTTAAATTCTAGCTCTTGGGATATATGATTCTAAAAAGAGGAAAAACGCTTTATAAACTATGAAAAACATTGCATGAAGTTTTTATTGCTATGTCTTGGAATACAGTTACTTATGATCCAGGTAACTGTGGATGAATTGAGTAGAAAATGGAGATTAAGAGAAACAAAACCAGCTGCAGATACTGACAGAACATCTATAATCATACATTTCCTTTGCCTGATGAGCCATTGGGCTGAGAGAGTTGGGTAAGGTCTGAGCTTGCAAAGATATCAAGTGGCTCAGCTAAGGGGGCAGAGAGCAAGGCAGGGCCAGACAGAAGCAGCTCCAGTTTCTGTATAGAAGGGGCTTAAGGGATATAGGCAAATTGGGGCTTGGAGTTGCTTTTGCAAATAACTTTTCCTATCTGTCATCTGTGTCAAAGAATAGGGATAGGACAGTAGCCATGGAGTTAATTAACTCGTTTGGCGCAATGACTAAGGCCAGGCTAGTTGTCCTGTGTTGGGTTGAGAAAACCCACAGTCATTAAAAGCAAGTCAACCTCAACATCTATAGCTACTTTATTTTAAAATGAAGTTATTACTTCAAATCAAAAGTGCATAAAGAATTTCTGAAGAGTTTCTAAGCCAGAAAATTTCAGTTCAGGTTGGTTTGAAATCACAGGTAGTCTTTCAGTTTTCAATTTCATCAGAGGTGATGCTTCATAATTTGAACTTTTGATGCTGAAAATTGAACTGAAAATGAGACTCAAGACTCTCCTATAGTTCAACCATTCTGCCTTATTGGTATTATTATTATTATTATCACTAGGTTATCTTGTCCAAGGTGGAGAAGAAAGAGAGACCCAGTCTTTGCCTTTGAGATATACAACCACAATTCCAGGAAATACGTTTTTCAAATAGCCTGTGCATGGTGGGGAGTGGGGTCTTCTATTGATTTGAGACATGGTCTTTTCCACACTCAGGCACAGAGTCTTTTTTGCTCAATTTCTACATTTTAAAATTCTTCCAGTGGAAAGAGAATCAACATAGCTCTTAAAGAGGGGACAACTGCATGGAATTCACAGAGCAAATTGCCTGATTTTATTTTAACCCTTGTACACAGGCAGGGTTGGGAATTTATTGGAAGACCTGTCTTTCTTGCTAACGTGTTAACATGATATTCCTCTTTGGTTAATACATTTAAGTATTTACAAAGGTCTCTGGAAAAATAATGTGAAAAACTAGTTGCAACTCATGTTTACCCGGCCATGAGATGAATCTAGGATTTAAAAAAAAAAAAAGTATATCCTTAACTCATCTAAAAACTATAGACTAAAGAAAAAGACCCACAGTAAATATTTTCTATTTTAAAGTTAATATTAGTGACTACTATCTTTCTTTGTGTTGTCAGGTTCTCTCTCTCTGTGGTGTGTGCGTGTGTGTGTGTGTGTGTGTGTGTGTAGTAGTGCAACCTTCAAGATAAAGCTTTTTCTACCATCTTTGGTATACTTTTTAACTTGAGAAAAAATACTACCAGCTTACAAAAAATTCAAGACTGCATCTAACTAATCACAGAAAGTTGTATAAAAGAGCTTAGCCCTAAAGCATATGTGGGTCATACTAAAGTAGATGCCAGGCAGGACCCTGGGCTCATTGTTCAGAGCCTGTTCATGTCATGTTGCTGTAGTCAGTGGGTTAGTGGGTTCACTCATAACATGCTACATATTGATAATGTTGAATGGTATGTAATTTTTTTACCCTTATTGCTAATGTGAGACACTTCTGGTTTGACCGGTATCTGTGAGGGGCAATGAGAACGGTTCATTATTATCAAGTGAAAGACTTAAAAATATTGAAGCAGGGGTGCATCCCATGGGTCATGTCCTTCTCCACCCTTAGAGAGGTACCAAGTTTGCTGACTCCTTTCATACATCAAGATAGTGGAGATTGGGGTGAGCAAATGGAGAAATCAGGACCAGTGATTTTGGAAAGAGGTTGAGGGAGGGGAAGAGTCAGGAGAAGATGATGCTCTTAAAGAGGGCTCTTGGGAAAGAGAAGAGAGATTTGGACTACTATGAGTGGGATTCTGAGAAGAAAAATGGGAAAACATAATCTTTAGTATTTGTGTGTGTGTGTGTGTGTGTATGTATGTCAATCAATTTGTATTTCCACTTTCTGAAGTCTTCAGAAAAGCTCCAATCAAAATTGCCTTTTGCCACTGTCAACAGCAGGAGATGACCCAGTTTTATAAATGAAGGAGTGTTTATTCCACTTTACACCAAATGTTTTTGCCACTTGCCTTTCAAGCTTCCAGATTAGTTATTAAAAAGTTTCTTCAAATTATTCTCTGGTCTTGTTTAGCTATTAGGCAAAGGGTCCTGTAGCTTAGTGAAGGTCTGAGAGTGGGCACCTGGCCCAGATCTGGCTGATTGGACTAAAGAGAACTCTGTTGGAGGCTTCTGGAAGAGATGTTTTCTAATAGAAAGAGAGGGTTGTCTACAAAGAAACGGTTTCCTTCTGTCCTGGATGCCTCTTTGCTCCTGCTTTCTATGGTGTTGTGATGAACATGACTGTATTAGTCCATTCTCATATTGCTATATAGAACTGCCCGGAACTGGGTAATTTATAAAGGAAAGAGGTTTAATTGACTCACAGTTAGGCATAGCTTGGAAGCCCTCAGGAAACTTACAACCATGGCAGAAGGTGAATGGGAAGCAAGACATCTTTTTCACAAGGTGGCAGGAAGGAAAAGTGCCAAGTGAAGGGGGGAGAGCCCCTTATAAAACCATCAGATCTCTTGAGAACTCACTCACTATCAGAAGAACAGCATGGGAGAAGCTCACTCATTATCAGAACAGCATGGGAGAAACCACTCAATTACCTCCATCTGGTCCCTCCCTTGACATGTAGGGATTATGAAGATTGCAATTCAAGATGACATTTGAATGACCATGAAGTGGCCCTCCAGGGGTGGAAGGACAGCCTGCTGATGGTGGAATGGGAGGGCGGAAAGCCTTGGTCCTTTATGGCATTGTTGAGCTATTGAATTAGTTCCAGATTGTCTACTTTGGAGCACTGGTTCCAGTCTTCTAAGTGCTGTTTCTAATTGGTATACTTCTCTGTATTTCTTGGCTTTTGTTAATCAATAATAAATTCCCTTATGGTTAAGCTACTGACATTTAACTCCGACATGGAGCCAAAGGTGTTAGTAACTGGCACACAACACATTAGAAACTTTTGCCATTTGTAACCACTTCTTATGTGATCAAACAAAACAGAAATATATTGGAAATTAGAGCTTATAGAAAACTGCAACTGTTATCCATAACATTTAGTTTTCAATATCTGTGGTCATCAGAATCATCTGGCTTCATTGATTGACTTCATAATAGGCAAATATCACAAATGAAGTCAAATTATAAATTTTAGTTGGTAAAATTTTGCAATTTGCCTGTCTTACATTGGTTCCAATTAAGATTTCATTTGAAAAAAGCTAAAATAATTGAAAACCACAGCAAAAGCCAAAGGGAAGCAGGGTAGTTGAATTCATGTTTGTGTATATATGCATGTACTAATCACTGCATTCATCTGATCATTTAAATTCATTGAACCCCTCCTATGTGACATCGACTGTTCTGTGGGCTAGAGATTGAGAGCATAATAGAACACAGACTCTGACATCTATGTCAGGAACTCCATTTTGGTAAATGGCAACCACAATTCAGTAAGATGTTCAGGCTGAAAGCCATGTTGTCATTCTTGAATAGTATGTTTCTCACACATCCTATTTGTAATCCATCAGCAAAGCACTTTGAGTCTCCTTTTACAGCACTACCTGACTCTAACCTCTTTTCATGTTCTTCATTATCCTCACCCTAGTTCCAGCCAACATCATCTTCCACACTTATCCTTCTCTATGGTTTCTTCCCATATGGTAGCCAGAATGATTTAAAAAAAAGAACATAAAGGAGGTCATGACATTCTGTTCTTTTTAGCTCTTCCATGGCTGTGTAGTACTTTTCTTATTTACTTTTTAAGTGGTTTTATTTTATGTGCAAATAATGAACAAGTATTTTACCCATAAATTCTACTTTCCAAAATCAGGAGCGTTTTTAAAAGAAAGCCACATAACAGCTTTTAAAAGGCACTGGGATTCCTCTGCTTCTGGATTATTGCTAGGCTAGAAAAATAAAGTTTGTTCTACCAGGAATCACAAGTTAGAACTGAGTATTCTCCAAATTGGAAATTCTAGAGTATAGGGTCACTCCAGGCAAAGATTATTCAATTCTCATCCCCAACTACCTATCAGAAGGGTTAAACAAGGTCAAAACAGTCCAGCATAATTAGGCTTCATCAAACAATGTCATTATGCTCTTCTAAGATGCAAATAAACCAAACAGGAAATACTAAAATCAAAATAATATTTGACACTGTCATACAAGTTGTTAGTTCCTTGTTGTATCCTCCCCTTCTATAACATTAATAAAGAGAATATTTTCTGCAGAGAATATTTTATTTTACATATCACTAGCCATGAATTTTTGCCATTAGTTATTATACAAATGCTGCCTAGTGCCATTATCCAAATGGCATAAGCATTTTATGTCCACAATTCACTTCTATAGTTATAAGTAGAATTTTCATGATTTACGTAAGTACATCTATCGGTGAAGGTTTAACACTGAGATGCAATCTAACATCCGTGTATCTGATGTTTTGTAGGAAATATATATTTTAATCTCCTTTCATTTAAGTGATCTTATGTAAAAAATAAACTAATAATTGAGCAGTTCCAAGTCTCCAAGGGGCATTTTCAAATGTACATAAAAGAAATGATTACAGAGATGTTTAAGAAGCATCTTCATGTCCACATCCTCTTGTAACTGCTGTACCATTTTCTCTTCCAACTGCTTCCCTTTGCCTGCAAGAGGGGCTCAGATAAGCTGTATGTTTTGCTTGACTTATTTGATGTCCTGAACTTTCTGTAGCTCTTTATTCTTCTTCAATCTGTTCATTATACATTTAGCTTGGTGTTTCTGTTTGATCTCTTCAACCGTCTTCATTGCATCAATAGTTTTCTTCCATAGCTCTCACTGGTATGTGATAGGTTCATTTCTATGTTTTTCAAATTCAAATGAATGATCCACTGTAAGCTCTTCACCTGCTGCTTTCTGGAATGCTTTGGTCCACCTAACTTTGCGAGGATTGCACTTCTTTTTAAAGTTTTTATGACATTTAGATTTACAAAATCTGAACACCTTACAATTGTTGCAGACAAACATCATGTCGTGGCCAGGGTAGATGGGCCCCGAAAAGAAATAACACTTTTTTTTTTTTTTTTTTTTTTTTTTTTGAGACTGAGTCTCCCTCTATCACCCAGGCTGGAGGGCAGTGGCGCGATATCGGCTCACTGCAAGCTCCGCCTCCCAGGTTCACGCCATTCTCCTGCCTCAGCCTCCCGACTAGCTGGGACTACAGGTGCCCGCACCATGCCCGGCTAATTTTTTTGTATTTTTAGTAGAGACGGGGTTTCACCGTGTTAGCCAGGATGGTCCCGATCTCCTGACCTCGTGATCCATCCGCCTCGGCCTCCCAAAGTGCTGGGATTACAGGCGTGAGCCACCGCGCCCGGCCAGAAATAACACTTCTGATATGCATGTTGAACCCACGTGGCTCCCCACTGACCAAACGCAAACTTGAGAATGGCTGTATATTACTATTTAAAAAATCCAAATTCCTGTTCCTCGCATATGAAGTTTCTTTATGATCCAGCACCAATTCTCTCCCAACATAATTTTCTACCCTGCTGTTTCTCGTTGAATTCAGTCCAAGCATTCTGGCCTCCTTGGTGTTTGCTGCACACCCCAGCTATGTTTCCTCCTTAGTAACCTCGCCCTTGCTGATCACCTAATTCAGGTCTCTGCTCAAAGTTACCCCAGGGAGGTTTTCCCCTGACTCATTTATATTCTTCTCTATCACCTTACACTGTATTGTATATCTATTAGTTTGTAATCTACCTCCTTCACTTGAACATCAACTCCATGACTGCAAGGACTTCACTGTTCTGATGAATCTGGATAGATGGGTGGATGGATGGATGGGTGGATGGATGGATGGATGAGCTCTGGGTGAGTTGCTCCATTCTTTTCAGTCCTGATTCTTCCCTGACTGGTGATGTCTTCTGGACCAGTTTTTTTTTTTTCCTCTGTGCCTCTGTATTTGCATCTGTGAAATAAGCGGAAATTTCAAGCCGTGGGGTGGGGAGATTTTTAATGGCAGGCCTGTTGGTTCGCTTCCTTTCCCACTGCTTGGGTGGCTTTCTACTTCATGCATCAGGCCAGCCGGTTGCCAGGCAGGATAGGAAGCTGGACTATGAGCAAGTGCTGACTAATGCAGGCATCTCTCACCTTATCTCTGAGACGAAAAGCCAGCTCAGTCAGCCTGGGGCAAACAAACACATAGAGTCAGCAAAGACCTCTTCTGGGCTTGCATCTTTCTGGCACCCTTCCTACTCCTGTTGACCCATTTCCTACCAGGAACATAATGCAATCCTGATACCGTGTGCTTTCATCCTAAGAGGGTGGATTACAAAATTTAACTCATCCACAACTATCCAGTAAATATTTATTCCTCTTTCAGGCATCTTTGCATGGATTTCACAAAGAGCAGTCTATTCTCACCCTAAAACCATACACTCCTTTTGTCCAGGTCCAGCTCCTTCACAGCTGTGTGTTAGGGCAGGTGTCTCTACCTTTCTGAGCCTCAGTTCTTTCCTCTGTAAGATGTGAACACTAAGACTCATCTCATGTCATTGCAATGACAGTTAAATAAAGTTACAAGTAGAAGGTACCTGACACAATGCATACAGCAGCCCCACAATAAGAAAAGACTGCAGAGAGAAGGCAGTGGATAACTCAGTGAGATTTTGGTTCACCTTGACTTTCTAGAATCCTTTAAATTTCCTCTGTATGCTATTTCTGTTTAAATAAATAGCCAATCTTGCTTATGAGCACAGAATTGGGAAGTGCTAGAACTGAGGCTGAGATAAATCGGAAACAATAGTTAAAAACATTAATGCATTCACAAACCTGGACCCATTTCAGCAGAGCCTGTAGCCTGCACACTGTTGGCCATTAGAAAAGCTGCTGGGCCCACAGCCTGGCTTCTTTCCCCCACTACCTGTGATGCTTTCCCTCCAGGGTGGGGCGAGCCTGCTGGAGAGTGGGGGCTGGCCTGGACTACACGTCCCTAATCTGTAATCCTAGCCTGGCTCTGGAGGAGGGGACTCCCCTCTTTCCATCCCCAAATGGCAGGGATGAGGATGGAGGTGGGAGTCCAGCTTGGTCATTCATGATGACGTGTACCAAGCCTGTGAGAAATGGAACAGAATGAACACACACAGATTGTCCTTCATGGAGCTCCGCTCTTCCTTATATTTCATGGTTTGAGCTCCTTTGTGCCGGTGTGAGGTGGGGTGGTTTGGGGCTTCTGCCAGGAAACAGGTGGAGTCTTGCCAACACCTCTGCTGGATGCTGGAGTTTGCCGGCAGAGGAAAACCTGTGTTGAAAGGCCAGAAATCTGCCGTTTCCTGTATGTGGGTGAGCAAAGTAGTTTTGTTTACCTGGAGAACTAGTTTTAGAGTCCATGGCAACCACAGTTTTTGGGGCAGAGTTACTCTGAGATGTCCAGTCAGACCAAGGGCTGGGAAGTCCCTGGATCTCCCAGAAAGGGAGGCTGGCTTCTGGGCCAGGATGAGCAGTCTGGATTCCAGCCAAGGGGAGAAAGGAGAGAAGTCAAAAAGGAGGCTGAGGTGTCAAACTGATTTCCCCCTTGGGGCTTTTGCCTGTCTTCTCTCCGCAGTGCTCGCCCTCCTCCACGTGCATGGCTTCCTCTTCCCTCTGGTCTTGCCCTCAGTGCACCTTATCCCTGAAGCTTGGCTGGAGCCCCTCCTTCCTGACATCCAGTGCCCTCCACTTCCTATCTCTACAGTGTCCCCAAGTGTTTCCTTCTATATTCAATGGGCCTATGGAGGTCTAAGTCAGTATCTGGCAAATAAAGAATAACTTTGATCCGATTAATTTCCCAATTCATCAATGTATCTACTTTGTAATCAATTTCCAGAATATAACAAAGCTGTCTTAATTCAACATAGACTGTAAAAACTAAGTAATTCATGGGCTAAAGCTTTCATTTGGCAAAAAGAACATTAAGATGGGGGCCTGGGAAATGTGTCCTCCTCTTGTTGTAAACAAATGCTGCTTATCTTCGGGTATAGAATTCTCACTCAAGGCATATCTGTGTGGTTAAATGTGGGCCACTTTCGTAAAGTTATTATACATTTAGTGTGAAAGGAGTTACAATCATCATTTTACTTGAAGCCTCCCCCAAGCGAATGATGAAGCCCATTATTTACAATCATCATTTTACTTGAAGCCTCTCCCAAGCGAATGATGAAGCCCATTATTAGCGGGACAAGATTAACTTATTTTTACAAGAAACATATGGCAAGCTTAGATGGAGTGAAAACTTCTCGCTTTAACCACCCATGTGTGTTTATAATTAAAGAATTTTAAAAAGAAATGCTGTAGAAATGTTAATTGCTGAATCTGTATGTTTTACCAGGCTGGGACAATTTCTAAACACAGTAATCATATTAATCATGGCAAGATTGTTCCGGTTTGGTAGAGAAGGAAAGCAGTCAAACTGGCCACACAACTAGCTCTTCCATGGACCATTATTGTTTTTTCTTTGTTTGTTTTGGTTTTGGCTTTTTTGTTGTTTAGTTTTTTTTTTTGAGAGGGAGTCTCGCTCTGTCACCCAGGCTGGAGTGCAGTGGCACCATCTCGGCTCACTGCAACCTCTGCCTCCTGGGTTCAAGAGATTCTCCTGCCTCAGCCTTCTGAGTAGCTGAGATTACAGGCATGCGCCAACACACCTGACTAATTTTGTATTTTTAGTAGAGGTGGGGTTTCGCCATGTTGGCCAGGCTGGTCTCAAACTCCTGACCTCGAGTGATCCACTCGCCTCAGCCTCCCAAAGTGCTGGGATTACAGGCGTGAGCCACTGAGCCCCAGCCCCATTGATCATTATTGATCACCTACCATGCCAGACATTTTCTAGGGGTTAGGAATTTAGCAGGGACAACAGAGATAAACCTGCCTGCCCTCATGGAACTTTTATTCCAGTGGGGGAGACAGACAATAACAAAATAAATAAAGTATACAATATATTAGAAGGCGACATGCACCATGGAAAAAAGCAGCAGAAATGGGGGTGGAGTATGCACTTTAAAATGGGCCCATCAGGGTGGCACTTAGGTGACATTCAGGCAAATATTAAGAGGTCAGGGGGAGGGGCACGATAAGCAGAGGGAAAGGCCAGTGCGAGGGTCCAGGTGTTTTGAAGAAGAGCAAGGAGACCAGTGTTTCTGGATGGCAGTGAGCCAGGGGACGGGGTGGGAGGGTTGGGGGTAGGAAATGAGTCAGGGAGGGAAGGGGTGCTGAGCACCGAGGGCCTACATCCAGTGGAATAATCTATGTGCTTTATTCCAAGTGAAATGTGAAGCTAACCCAAGGTTTCACAGAGGAGCTACATGATCTGACTCACAGTTTTAAAAGATTCCTGGAATGAATCATTTGACAACCTGCGTTAGTTTGGCCAAAACACCCAAGTCAAAAAAAAAAAAAAGGCTTGCAGGCAAGGTCACCCCTAGGTGTAGTGGGGAGTCAGATGCAGATTCCTGTACATGACACTAACACTACCACCCCTTAAAACCTCTGTGTTTTACTCTCAGGAATGTCAAAAGTTAAAATCAAGGGTGAAGGGGTTACAAGCTCTGGAACTATTTCTGCTCCAAGAGGCCCAAATTCCTCACCTTCCTTTTTTAAACTTCCCTGATTGAAGGAAGAAGGTGGAACTGGGGGGTGGGTCAGGGGAGCTCAAGCTGGAATCTTCATGCTGATGTCCTGCCAGGATGCTCCTGGTCACAGCAGACCTCACCCTAGAGGATCTTATGCTAAGATTGCCTGAGTCACCCTTCTCTTCTAAATGTTTGGTATTGATGCCATTATTTATTTCATGGCCTGTGAGCAGGCCTTTTTATACAACCTGGGGCACTTTGTCTAACATGGGATGTTTGAATTATTTTAAAGTTTGAGAAACAGCCAGGGAGGTGTGGTTTGGATGCAACATGGACTCTCTGGGGTTTTTGATTTGTCATGATGAAAATAAGGCAACAATTCTTGGACCAGACTTTTCCAACAAGTGGGAACAGGACAACGTTGGATGTCATCAGTGAAGCAGAAGTATCCAAAGGCTTAGGGAGAACAGATTGTAGGAGACTGGCTCACACACTCCCTAACTGCTTCCCCACAGAGGGCCCAGAGGCCACTCCCTTTCCCAAGGCTGCTGAGACACACTTGTGAGAGGAAGCCCAGCATCCTTGAGTAGCTCTGTAGTGCGCCAGGAGTGGCACTGGGCATGGCTGCCATTGGATAGGACTCTGACTTTAGTGGTGATGATGAGAGGGGCTGGCAGGGACCAAGGGGCGCTATTTAATTATCAAAGACAAGATGGGTGTGGCTATTGTAAAGGTTATCAGAGCTGAAGTAGTCATCAGAATAGTATTGAGGAGAGCAAAAACCACCTGGTGACCATCAAGTAGGCTACCTGGAGCCAAAAGACTCCTTATTTGAGGAATTTAGAAGTAATTAGACCTCTCTATTATCTGAAGTCCGAAACTGGTTCCAGGCCTCTTTTCAACTTAAAATTTATAAGTAACTAGAATTTTCATACATCTCCAGAATCCATGCATGCTGAAATTCATTGTGCAACTCTTGCTGACATTAAGGCACCAAAATGTCTACAAATGAAATCATTTATCATGCAAACTACCATTTAGCTCCCACTTTAAGGTCCATAAATACCCTTAAGGAAAAATCCACCGGCTTGCTCTGTCCTGTCTCGCTGAGGAGCCCCGCTGTCCTCTTCTGCAGCATTCTTTCTTTTTAATAAAACTTTCCTTCTTCAAACCTATACTGTCATCAGTAAATTCTCTTATCAACCCGTGAGATGACCACTTTCTGATGCTAGGGCTCTGAAACCTCGCCCAGCAAGTATGACCCACAGAAATCACTGTCTTGGCTGTTGATCATGATATTCCTTGAGCAGAAATAGATGGCCAGACTAAAGCAATCTCACCTGTTTTGCATAGATGGAAAAGCTCTAGATCTGGCTAGTGGAATCACCACAATAGTAGGTCCTAGCCCCTCACCCAATTCCTAGCTTTGAACCAGTTTGTAGACTCAGTGCCTCTGGGAAAGAGAGGAGGACCAGTCTCCTTAAGGAGATCTTGCGACATAGCCAACAATGTACACTGTCAATTGTCCTCCCAATCTTCCCACAGGGACCTGTGGCTGTTTATTAGGGTGACTGTTAATGAGGGAAGGGGATATAACCAGACTTTGGGGGAACTGCTGGACACTGGAGACCCCAAACTCTGCTACTCTCACTACTGTCTGCCAGTTATGTGACCATTGGAGTTTGGCTCTGGTTCCTCTCAGTGTAACTAAAGTGTTCTGCAGATCTACTCTGGTTATTTCTCCAGTTTCAGAAGTCAGAGTTGGAAAATAAATGTTATCAGTGTGGGCAGAGGTCCCACACTGCTTAGAACTCTTTAGCCTGTCATCTTTCAGGTTCCCAAGTGCTGAGTGAGTGTCCAGTGCTCAGGGTACTTCCCATACACAGTTGGTCACACACAGACAGTGATGTCTGAGGGGCTGTGTGTGAAGAGTTAAACCCACTCTGGTTGTCTGGCTGCTTGCCCGTGGGGCCTAGCATGCTACACAACTGAGGCTGAGGCAGGGACTCTGTTGTAGACCAGAGCAGGCAGCAAAGGGCAGGGAAGAGAAAACCAGTCTCAGTTCTGCCATCACTTCCACGTGGCTTACTGGGCACATCCCTTTGTCTTTCTGAACCTTGGTTTGCTCATCTCTAAGAAGAGAAGTCGGGTTTGAAGTCACTCGTTCTTTGGCTGCATATTGGAGTCACTCAGGGAACTTAAAAAGGACGAATACTTAAGTCCTATGCTAGAGATTTTGATTTAATTGGTCTGGGGTGGGGGCTAAGCACTGATGTTTTTACATCTCCTCTGGTGATTCAGATGTGCATTCAGGGGTGAGCCCTGCTGGCCGAAGTCTTCCCTGAGGTCTCTTCCAGCTTCCAGCTTCGACGGGAGGAGTTTACAAGATATTCCTTCACTGAGAGAGAGACAGTCTGACACATATGAAGTTAAAGTTACAAAGAGCCTTTGGAGGTGAAAAACCTGAAAACCTCTGTTTCTAAAATTAAAACCTGCCACCGTTGTTCTCTGTGGGAAAAATTTGACTGGTCAGAGCACAGGGAAGCTGGGTTGAGGAATGGTCCTGCTATGGTCTGGATGTTGGTATCTCTCACAATTTATATGTTGGAATCTAATAACCAGTGTGATGGTATTAATAGGTGGGGCATGTGGGAAGGGACTAAGTCGTAAGGGCTCCACCCTGGTGAATGGGATTAGTGCCCTTATAAAAGAGGCTTGAGCAAGCCCCACTCCCCCTGCACCATGTGAGGGCACACAGAAGGCACCACCTATGAGGAACAGGCCTTTACCACACACCAAATTTGCTGATGTCTTGATCTTGGACTTGCCAGCCCTGAGAACTGTTAGCAATAAATTTCTATGGTTTATAACTTACTCAGCTTAAGGTATTTTGTTATAGCAGCCTAAGCAGACTAAGATAAGTCCAAATCAGTGTTTGGCTGCTCAAAGATTTGTTCATAGCATTTGCCTGTGTTCTAGACATAGGTCAAAATCTGCCCTTGGGTTTAATTTGCATCTTGCCATACCCCTGATATTATAGATTCAGAAAGATACCCATCCCTTCTGCTTACTGATGGATGCTCTAACACATAGCATGTGCCTGTGTTCTAGACATAGGTCGAAATCTGCCCTTGGGTTTAATCTGCATCTTGCCATACCACTGATATTATATTATAGATTCAGAAAGATTCTGCTTACTGATGGATGCTCTAACTTCTGTGTCTTATTCCTGCCTTCATCTTTAGCTAGCCTTTGATAAATGGTTGTTCCTATTCTGGGAATGGTAGAATTGGTTCTGGCTTCTGAGCCTGACTTAAACACACACTAGCTGTGTGCCCTTGAAGAGGTACCTTTTTCTTCCCGGCATCAATTTCCTCATCTGTTAAACCTATGGCCCCAAGGTATCTTCTGGATAAAATGCTCTATGCTAATGCAATGTTATGAAACTCCGCTGATCCATCCAGAGTAGAAAGCTGAGCTGTCTTCCTGAAGCAAAATGGAGCCCAGACTTTTGCAAACTGATTATTCTCACAGGTACCAGAGGTGGATTTGTGGGGAGCATCTTTCCAACTTAGTCCACCCCAAAAGAACTGTCTCTTTCCACCTAGCCCAGTCAACAATGAACCCAGCTTTGAAGCACTTGGAGCAAAGGCTGCTAGATGGCGCTGTTTCCCCAGATTTGCAGGGAATCGGCGTTTCAGCAGACGGCTGTTGGAGAAGAATTAACAATTAATGTCCACTGTATCAGCCAAAGCCGGCAGAAAATATGTTATACTCCAGAAACTACAGAGAGCTGAGATTGCTCAAAGACGTTTGGCTGTTAGCTTGGTCCTCTGCTGGCCAAAAATGTAATCCATTCTCACATTGGTCCCATAAGTAAGGGACATTAATCGCAAGGGTAAATAAGGAATATTATTTGTATGCTTATTTTCTCAGTCTTATTACATTTTCTTCTGAAAGTTTTCCTCATATTTTAATTAGAAAACAATCATTACTGGGCTAGAGGGTGATTATAAGCTAACCAATTCTGATGTGAGTTCACTTTGCGACTGCTTAAAAAAGGAAACCACCAGATGAAACACATGGGCTGCCTCTCCGAATCCATATGGGCGCTTGCAGGGAATCACAAACCGAGGCGCGAGGGCTGTGGTAGCAGGCAGATTTCTCCTGTTTTCGTAACCTTTATTTTTCTACAACAAGGCTGTTTGAGTCAAGAGCTTGAACACCGCAGATGTCATTGTCTTCATCAAAAGGCAAAGACATCCTTTGTCACACAAAAGGAGAGTTAGGGAAGCCAGTAAAAGGGAAGGGCAAAGAGGTCGTGTGGTACATTCTCAGCGCTGCTTCTTGCATTTTTCCGTCTTAGTGTTTGCAACCTTCATTCCCACTTTTTCCAGTCCTGCCTTGCTGGGTACTGAAAGGTAAACTCCTTCTAATGATGACAGAGCACAGTGGGAGGAGGGCACTGTAAGATTCTGCTCTCCTGCCTGGATCCTGACGACCTTCTTTGCTTGTAGATACGACCACATTGTGGGTAGCCAGTGGTGCAGTGGCCAGGTTGATTAGCAGAACCGCAGGATTCTCTTGCGGGCATTGGTCACACTCTGAAATGTAAAACCTATGCCTTCCGTATCGTGCCCCTTCCCCTTACTTTTTGTGTCCTGACTTCTTCCTTGCCCAGAAATAGCAGTCTGTCAAGTTTAAATTATTAACTGCTTCACCCTCCCTCTGCCACGCTGTCTGCCGCTCACATTTGCAGGCTGGAGAGAAAAAGAATGAAACCTATGTATTTCCCTCAAGTTTCAAAATTCACAAATTTTGCTTTTTGTGAATTCATGGTGTGCATAGTTTAGATTTAGAAAAATATTCCCAGTGCCAGCTCCTCTGGTGTGCATTTTTTTAAAAAAGCACACATTTTCAATCAACAGCATCAACAACTCAGAACCCAAGCTGGTGGAGAAGGGTGAGTAGGGGGCTGCCCATGGGGAAGCAGAGCATCTTCCCTCCTGGCAGGGAAAGGCTCATCTCTTGACCCAAGGTGCCAATTACTATTTTAACCATCCTCCCCCACTGCCCAAGAGGCAGCTGGAAAGGAATCAGCATGCTGGGAGTTCCCAGAGCGTCTTGCTGGCTCCCCAAGGCTTCCAGGCATTTGCCCATCTGGTGAGGCCTCCGGAGCAGGGGGGCTAATTAGGCGTCATCTGGCCACCTGAGAAGGCTTGGTGGACCTCCTCTGGCTTCCCCCTCCTCCAGGCAGGACGCTGCTCTGACAGCTGCGGATCTCTGGAGTTTGTTTGGTTTAGCAGCTGCCCTGGCTAATTATTGGATAGCAGGGTCCCCAGGTGGCTGCCTCAGACTGGAGGGGGTGGGGTGAGCAGAGAGAGAGTCCAGGAACAGAAAGGGGCAGGGAGGGGAACGATATGAGGGGTAGTAAGAGAGCTATCTGAGGAAGAAACAGAGCAGCTGGATAAACATTCAATTCAAATCTCAGGGGCTGGAAGATGAGGAAGGGGTTTCCTGACTCCTGGCGGGAGAGTTGATCCCATAGGTGGGCCCACCCATGACAGAATACCAGCCCCTACACACACACCTCCTGCCACACCATGATATTCTGTACTCATCCCGATTTCTTCCCTTTTAGCACTGCCCTCTGCCTAGACTTACTCCTTCAGTCTAGGAACTAACCAAGAGCTTTTCATTAAGAGAACATGGCCTTACTGTCCTAACTGGGGGTGGAGAGGGTGGGTGTGAACATTTTTAGAAAGAGGATGTTGTATGCAAAATTATTGTTTACTGTTGTTGGAATTTTAGGCCTCCAGGCATGTAAGTATTTTAACCCTCGTGTCCCTAAACCATGACAAGTGCCCAGAGAGTTGAACACTCATAGGCAAGTCGGTCTGCCCACCACTTCTGGGGTATTTTCTCTTTCTCTTCTGGGCAGGCACGGCATGACATGGGACAAATAGGAAGAATTTGGGGATGAATTAAGAGGAAGCAGAATAAAATCTGCAAGGGGCTGTATTGCAAAAGATGCTACTTCCAGGACACTGAAATCCTGCTGTCAGTTTGAACCCTCACTTGCTAAGCAGCTAGATTGAGACACTGAAACACTGAATTACATAGTTTTCTCTTTTGTAATGTAGGATTATTTGAAGCAATAAGGTGGAGGTGGGAGGGTACTCCCTGGACTGGGACAAGATGAGCTCCAGTTTCATTTCTGGTCATGTTATATCTGTGGTATGTTGCTTTGGATTAAGTCATCGCATTTCCTCTCCAGTCCAATGTTCCTATCTTGACACTGAAAATGTGAGAATACTTTTTTCAGTATGCCAGAACTTAACCATTTTCTGAGAATATTAGAGGTTAGAATTTTATGTTTCTCTATTTTGTTGAACTGTACCCAAGAAGGAATGGCTTTCTGTGTCCCCCTCACCCCCAAACTGCCATTGTGAGACTCAAGGCCATTTTATACTAGGAAAGGAAAACCACTGGATGGAGAACAGCTGTTTTGAGACTCATCACATATGCCCCAAACATCAGAAAGGTGGGAGCTCTGCAGATGTGCAATACTTGTTGACAGCTGTAGTAATAATTGGAAGGGTGGTTGGGATTTTCGTGATGGCAGGAAGATAATCTTGTTAAGGTTTTGATGTCTTGTCTGGTTCCTCACAACTGCCTACCCATCCTTTGCAATTCCAAGGCTGAGATGGGAAGCCTTAGCCTGGAATAGAAGAGTTCAGAGATTTGGATCCATCAAGCAAGATTCACAATGATGAGCAATTCTCTTCAGAGAACTAGAACACTTTGATGCCATTAGCTGGAGACTGCAGTCATCCTTGTCCCTGACTCCCTAAAGCCCTCGGGGCATAAATCCCAGGCACACAGAATGGACCCAGAGGGAGCAGAAAGGAAAGCAAATGAGGGGCTTCTTTCTACTAACTGGTGTCAGCTTTCAGAAGGGTGTAAAATAGTGGAGATTGAATTTCTTCAGTTTGGGGATAAGAGTCATTGTTTTAAATTAGTCTGGGACCAAGATAGACCCCAGAGGATAAATGTTACATTTTTCTGCAGGTCACTAAATATCCTAGATTTGTGTTACAGCTCCAGTAGAAAATGATCAAACCTTTCATTAAAGTCTGTAGTTCTTCATGGGAACTCTAAGGCCTCTGAGAGTTGATTTGGTCCAGCTTGTCACTCTGGTAGGTTCCCCTCCAGTGTCTCTGAGGAGTGGAAACCCATTGTTTACTTGACTACCCCTCAATAGAAGGAACCCAGTACATTCCATCCTGGGCATTTTAAGTGCTTAGAGAACTGTTCCTTATTTTGAGCTGAAACCCTTTTCTTGAAACTTCTGCTCACTAATCCCTTTTCTGCCCTTTGGAGCTACACAGGATAAATATAGTCCCCTTTTCAGATGAAAGCTCTTCAGATAGTTGAAGCCAGTTATCACATTCTTTAAGTTTTCCTTTGTACAAAATGCACATTTCAAGTCTAAAAAGAAGCTATAAATACTCTCAATATTTCCAATAAAGGGAAATTAATATAAGGCAATTAATAAAGGCAAAAGTGAGAAAACCCACAGATTAGTAAATTCAGGAAGAGACTTCCATTCCTACAGAATGAATAGGAAGTGTCCTGTTGCCTGGAATCCCAGTGGGGTGGGGGTGGGGAGCACCCTAGGCAGAGTGGGAACCATGGCAGAGGTACATGGACAGCGCTGGTATTACCAAGGGGAATTGAGCTGCTGGTGCTGGAACATCTGAAGGGGCACTGCCTGGTTAATGCTGGGACCACCATGGCTGCTGCTGGCATCACTAACATGCTGCATCTCAGCAGGTGAGATCGGCACTGGCTCCAAGGAAGAGGTTTTCCATGCAGATGTGGAAACTGCCAAAAGACCTTGGATGTGAGCTGCCACCTGCTGCTGGAAAGATGTGGAGAGAACTTGGATTCAGGAAGAGAGCTGCTTCTTCCCTCCTCCCATATCCCAGTTTCTTGCCGTGCTTTCCATTGGCATACCCTAACTGAAAGCCACTGGCAAGAGACTTGCAGAAATTAACTTTCCAGAGTCTCAGGCCCTCTAGATTACAGAGAAGAGGACGGAAGAGAGGGAATGGGGCCTGAGACAAATACCTTCATAGTGTTCTTCCTAAAATGTAAAACCAATAATTGAAAACTAAACTCTACATAAGACGGGAATAAAGCTGAGCGATGTAGCTAGCCTCACCCTTGCATTGACAGTAGAGTGTTATTAAAATCAAATACGTGTGGCATAAACACTGTTGTTCTCGGTTACTGAGCTTGCAGTCAACAACATCCTTTATTTACATGAAGCAGGTGAGGCAAAACCTGTATTTTTGAAAATGAGTGACTGAAGTACAAGTCTCTGGTGGATATATTTGTATATTCTTTTTCTCTCTTTCCTGGCATACTGCCTCTTTCTTCTGGTAATGGTGCCCTTCTTTTTCCCTTGGGAAATTGCCCTCTTCTATCCATGTGGCTGTCCCTCAGTCACATGACTCCAGGAGCCCTAATCACAGGGAGGGCACAAGAGACGAGCTCTGAAACTTGAGTAGAAACACTGAGGGACAGATGGATGGTGGATCTGAAGCTGTACGTGGCACTTCCCTGCAGATGCAGTCTTTGGGTTGTCTACTGACATCCTGAAGCTACTCTGATTCTTGGCGTTCTCAAGATCTGGTTGTTCACCTTTTCTGTTATTGCATCCACTGCCCAGTGTTCTTCCTACAAAATCTTTTCTTGCTTTGGTTAGCCAGGGTCTATTTCTGTTGCTTGCACCAAAGAACCTAGAATGACATGCAGTCTAGTTACTTATATTCCCTATGGGTGAGAAGACACCATCTGGCTTAGGGGAGAGCCATGAAATACTGACCCTCCAGCCAGCATACCAGCTATTCCTCCATCCTTCTATCCTCACAAATATTAGAAGCATAATGAGTTATGGCCGACCTGGAAAGTGAACTTATGGTGATATGCTGGAGAGATTTGTCCTTATTGCAGTGGAGTTTTAAAACCTGTGATGCAGATAAATACATGGAAAGAGATTTTCATGCAGTCATCTTGATGTGGCTATTTTAATTTGGTCATATCAAAATGGGTAACTCAAAATAGCTTACATTTTATATCAAAATATTTCTTAAAATGTATCATTTTTTATTCTCTAGCAATGGATATCTCAGAGCCCTGTCCCATTCCTGGGCTTGACCTGACTACATTTCTAAAATTCGCTGAGAAATGGAATAAAGATCAGGAATGAAGTTTGTGTGTAATTATGTTAATTGCTACTTTAAAAAGTTTCTTAACATTAAGTTGTTTTTTAGGGCTGTCAACTTGTCTTCAAAATGACTGCATCAAAATATCATGTGTCTAATTTCTATATAGTCATATGAGTAATAAAAAATGTGCCAAATATATGAGCTGTCTCTCCAGAGCAAGAAGAGCGCCCCTCCATCACTGCACACTGCTTTCTAGGTGGACAGAAATGAAAGTATAAATAGCCTACATCTCCAGATATTCAACTAGTTAAGAAACTCTTCTTTATGTAACCATCTTTCAATCTATGTGTATCTATATTGTCCATAGGGATAGTTTGAGGATGACTTCTTGAAATCTCAACCTAGAAAACTGTGTTGACATCCCATGGTAACTTCTCAACACAGAGACAAAGTTAGTTTGGTAAAGTTTATTTTATAAGAATTATGTTGGCACAAGTAATTTTGTTTAGTAGTTATCTTTTAAATATTAAAATATATTTAAACTTTTAAAATTTTGCTGGGCATTGATATTTTACAACTTTATGTAATACACCCATTCCATGCTTTTTAAAAAATTGGAGCATATTCCTGTTCTCCCTAATCCTACAATTCTCTCTGCAGCTGCTCCACAGTCCACACCTTTCTTCGGAGTGGGATGAAAGTCATTCACTTGGTTCTGTGGACTTGAACTCATTTAGAGTGGCTAGGTGTTTTCTTATTGTCTTCTTGCCTATCTGAGGTTTCAATTTCCTACTAACCATATTTGTTCTAGCCATCCCAGTTTGAAGATTGCTTTCCTTGATAGAGAAAGCAATATAGAAGTTGAATTGTCCTATTTCTCTCTGTTTGCTTTCAATATGACACCATTTACCCCCAAGCACTGGGCTATTCCATTCCTCATTCTTCTTTCTGCTCTGAAACCAGTGCAATGCCCTCTTTCAGTGCTCTTACACTGTCCTGTTAAGCCTCAGTGCAGTTTGGGCTCCATTTTTTCCTAGTAGCATCATGGCTGGTTTGTATTGCTTTGTTATATGTGCCTCCTTTAATTATTTCATGCATTTCTTAAAAAAATCTGAGATCATTAGAGATCTCTGTAGAGCTTTTTTTTTCTTTTTTAAAAAATGCTTCATTTTTTCCTTCATGATCAATGTCATTTGTTATTGTTCTGATTGAATTACTTTCTGTGAACCTTCCTTCCCCTTTCAGACATTTTAACTTTTCTAGTGTCATCAGAAGTCATACCTACCTTTTCTCTGAACTTTTAGAAACCATTTTTCCTAAGGCCTAGAGTTCATGTCTAATTGTGGGCAACACTTCCTTCTTCGGATATCAGAAGTTCTAAAATAAAAGGCCGGGCTCAGTGGCTCACGCCTGTACTCTCAGCACTTTGGGAGGCCAAGGCAGGCGGATCACAAGGTCAGGAGTTCAAGACCAGCCTGACCAACATAGTGAAACCCCATCTGTACTAAAAATACAAAAAAATTAGCTAGGTGTGGTGGCACACACCTGTAATCCCAGCTACTGAGGAGGCTGTGGCAGGAGAATCGCTTAAGCCCAGGAGGTGGATGTTGCAGTGGGCCAAGATCACACCACTGCAGTCCAGGCTGGGTGACAGAGCAAGACTCCATCTCAAAAAAAAAAAAAAAAAAAAAAAGAAGTTCTAAAATAATTATACTTTATCCAAGTGGTTTTTTGCCTATACTAGGCTGGTTGTGCCCATTGTGCTAATATTAAGGTGATGAATTATAGTGAAAGAGATCAGATCTGTGTCAAATCTCCACAGACCTGCTGATGATCTTAAAAAATCTACTTGACTCATCTGACTTGTCTAAGAGAGTTTTAAAAAAATATGGTCAACTGTACAGCTTTGCAGGCTTGCCATTGAAACTGTAAGGTATAAGAAATGCCAATAGCTCCATAAATAGAAGCCATTATTATTACTGCCTTAAGTTTTTGATATTTTGGGAAAATTTCTTGCCCTAACATTTGCACTAGTATATGTGTAGAAGTTAGTAATATAGTGTGAATAAGTTAAAGCTACAAGAGAGACATTAGGGTTGAAGTATAAATATATTGTTGGCCAATACATACTGGGCAAATGGCTGGAACATTCTGCGTTCCCATTTCTTTATAAAACAATCGTAATTCATGAGGTTGTCACAAAAATTTAAATAAGTGAATATATGTAGTTGCTTAGAACATCACTTGGCACATATCCAGCACTTCATTTGCTCCTAATATTAATGTGCCAAGGACTGGAATGTATGAATGTGGAGTTGAGAATGCCAGCAGTACTAAGCATTTTTATGTATGTAAGCCAGGATATATGAAAGAACATTAAGAAATCCTTAGAGAGAAACAAGCCTATGGAAAATGAGTGAAAGAAAATCACTGAAAAGTGTTAACCAAAAAGTGTAAATTGATATCATTCCATTGAGAAACACGAACATTTTTGGAGGTGATGGATTTAGAGTCATTATACTGTAGAAGACTGGACCACAAAGGCAGCTGAGCATCAACCATCAATTTTGGGGTGAATCTTGCTGAATCATTGGAGCCATTGTCTGAGCTGTTTATACACATGCCCCCTGTCCTTTTATGGAACTGGAGGTGTGCACCATGCTCCAAGATGGATGTTCATCTACATTTGGATTTTGAAAGGAAAATAAATCTTAGGGCACCAAAATCACCAAGCTAAAGGGAAAGTCAAGCTGAGAATTTCTTAGGGCAAACCTGCCTCTCATTCTATTCAAAATCATCCCTCTGCTCAGAGAGCTAGATGCATATCTGATTGCCTCTTTTGGAAGGCCAATCAGAAACTCAAAAGAATACAATCATTTGTCTCTCACCTACCTGTGACCTGGAAACCTCCTACCCGCTTTGAATTGTCTCACCTTTCTGGACAGAACCAATGTACATCTTACATATATTGATTGATGTCTTATGTCTCCCCAAAATGTGTAAAACCAAGCTGTGCCCTGATCACCTTGGGCACATGTTGTCAGGACTTCCTGAAGCTGTGTCATGGGCATGCACTCTCAACCTTGGCAAAATAAAAATTTTAAATTAACTGAGACTGTCTCAGATATTCGGGGTTCACATTTGGTAACAACAGAGGGATTCTGAGTGGAGATGCCCCTGACCTTTGACTAATCTCTTATTGATGCTTGGTACCAACATGAGCTAACTTTATGGCTCAAACCAATAGCATAATTTACTGAGGCCTGAGAGCACCTCCCTCCAGGGAATCCTTAAGCTTCCCAAATTTGGTTGAGATCTAAAATTTATTTTGCTGTACAACTCCTCTTTTTTTTGGAGTTTTACTTGCTTCCAACACAAGAAGGGCACGTTTTTCCTGCTTCTATGACAATGAAAGGCAGGTAACTCCTTTTCCTTTATGAAATTTGAGCTCACTTCCAACAGAGAAGATGAGTTGTTGTTGTTGCTTTTTTTCCTGCTTCTAGGATGACAGAGAGTAGTCTTCAGCCTGAGACCAATCCCTAGCTGAATTGGGGTTTGTCTTGGCTAAAGTAACTGAATTGGGGTTTGTCTTGGCTAACTTGAAGATTAACAACCAGCTGGTCTTATTTTCTCCTTACTATTAGAATGCTCAGTAATCATGTAAGTTGTGTGATCATTTGTTTGTTTTGCTTAACTGGTTCTTTTTGTTGTTTGTTTGTGTCTGTTTTTGTTGTTTCAGTGTTTTTCCCATTGGATTTGATCAACTCTATCCAACTTGATCAAATTGAAGGAAAGTTCCAAATTATGGGGAGCAAGGCCTCTGAAGTGGCTAAATTCCCACTTACACAAAAATGGTGGTGTGGTGGGGGAGAAAAATGGCCAGCAAAAGAAAGAAAAAAAAAAAAGGGAAAGATTTTTTATTTTGACTACTTAAGGGGTTTTATTTATATAACAAGGCCACCTGTTTGCTAGCTAGGCCTAACTGAAAAAGCAATGGCTGTCACCCCATGCTGCAGTTTCATAGCTAAGGTTCTGCTTTCTTTTTTTCACCATGACAACCTGGCTTTGGTTCCTAAATCAAGCTCTTTCTTGTTTGATACTTGGTACTTCTGAAATAGCAGCAGTTTGTCCTAGCTGAAATATAGTAATGAGATTTAAAAAGATTTGTTTAAAGGAACTCAATGGTTAAAAGTCAGCTTAATTTAAAGCTAACATCCAAGATGTGCATGTGTATGTGTGTGTGCTTGTATTTAAAGGGCTTTCATGTGTATTTTTTTTTTCTCACCTAGGACCTTGTCCTTTTTTGAGCAAAAGTTTTTTTCTTTTCAGTTGACAGAATTCTGTTTTTTTCATTTACTTCTTCTGTCACTCCTTTCTCTTGCATCCTCTGCTGCATGAGGGACCTAAAATAGTTTATAATAGCATGGAGTTCCTTAAAGAAAATGGAGAAGGCACCAGGCTCCCTTATGGGGAGAAACCTCTGTTTTTCCTTATGGAACCCCAAGAGTGTAAATAGACAAGCTTGTCTCAGCTCTTAAACTGTTTGCTTTTGTATTGTGTTACCTGACTTTTTTTTTTTTTGACTAAAATGTTATTCCAACAGAGACTATTCTTGTCTTTTTAAGGAAAAGTGTAGTTTTGACACTTAGAAATGTCTTTGTTTAAGAAAATTTTTAAAAGTGCACTGTAAAAGCATCACGTGGTCTAGTCTCATACTAATTCTCCCTCTTTAGAGACCCAGGATTTAGGGTGGGCTCTGCCCAGAGCCCAGAGATCCGGTTAAAATATAGGTAGTCCCTATCTAAATAAAATTGGTCTCCTTATACAATCCTATGATAGATTTCTATAATTTTATGTTTAATTGGCATCCATCTTTAATCTCCCTCTAGCACCACCAGACTTTTTATCTTTGTACCTTGAGATATAAATTTTGCTATCTGATTTTTCACCTAAGAGTTTTTTGCTTCAGTGTGCAGATTTAGGGCTATTTAGCTGACAACTGCCAGGATAATGAAATAGGTTATCAAGTGTTTGCAAGTCTAAGATAGGAAAAAAAAGGAGGTCTTATGAATCTATAAGATGCACTTTTATCAGTATGCCTAATACATCTATATATTTATGTGTCGTGTACACAGTGTTTCACTACTAAAAATATATAAAAGAGCTCTAATTAATTAGCTTAAAGAAAAGTAAAAGCATTTAAATCAAATACTTTATCAGAAAAAAGGAAAGACTGGTCAAATCCTTTTTCAAGTTTATGTGACTAAGTAAACTCTTTAATAAATAAGATAGCTTAAAAATTATCAGCCAAGTAATATTAAAAATGTCTTAATTGCCAGCATACAATTTTTGTATTTATTTATTGATCAAGCAATTTCACACTTATCCCTGCGAAATACTACAAGGTGTCAAAATCTGGCATAGCGGTTACAAAACTATAAACCCAGCCCAAAACAGAAGGATCTTTGCTTGTGTAATTTTTAATAAATAAGACAATGATATTGGCCTAATGAAAACAGCTAAATCTTGAATTGTTTAGCAAAATAACCATAACTTCTAATCTTGTGGCTTTAGACAGTCTAGTCCTCAGGCAGGAAGGGGGTTTGTTTTGGGAAAGGACTGTTATCATCTTTGTTATAAGCTAACCTATAAACTAAGTTTTTCCTAAAGTTAGTTCATTATTTGGTTATTTTCCAATAAAAATATATTGTAGGAAAACATTCTTTCTTAAAAAAGCATCCTTTTTAAAAAGGTGCATAATTTTTTCTAATTCAAAGCTTATTTAAAGGTTATATGTAAAACAAAGTAAAAGGAACCAGGAAATAAGAGAGATGTAAAGAAAGTTATAGAAGTAAAGAGGTAGTTTTTGGTGAGAAAGCTTAAAGAGAAATCATTTTATACAAGAAAGAATCTTGTATGATAAATTTAGCCCTAGAATAAAATGACTGTTTATTTAAGAAAGAGATGTTCAGGACAGACCAGAAAGTTAAAGCATGTCATGAATGGTCTGTATAAGTCACAATAAGAGGATTTATTTTTTTTTAAAAAAATCAAACACTTTTATATGATCAAGTTGTCTATAATTAAAGGGAAATTATAATGGTCTTCCCAGAGATTGGGTTTCAAGTTAAAAAAAAACCACTTATACACTAAAGAATTGATTAAAACAATTAAATTTTCTTAAGGGGTTGATTTAATAAATTGTGATATTTTAATTTTTTTTAACCCAAAGTTCAACTTTTATTGCATCTCATTGTTTTCAGTTTTCTGTCCCCTTTTAAAAGGTGCAAAATAGTAACACTCTCCTTCAACTCATTTTCAGCTCATGTAAGTTTTTTTCCTCAGGTTCTGTTTGTCTGAAGGAAATGTTTTCTTCCAACATAATATTCTGTACACTGCAGAAGATGTTTTCTTTTGCCTTTTTTAACTGGCCTAACAGATTTTGCATTTTATTGAAATCATTTCTGTGCCATTATTATTCAGTTTTAGTTTACTTATAAAAAAACTGAGATTAAAAATTTTATTTTTATTTATTTATTTTTTGAGATGGAATCTCATTCTGTCACCCAGGCTGGAGTGCAATGGCAAGATCTTGGCTCACTGAAACCTCTGCCTCCTGGATTCAAGTGATTCTCCTGCCTTAGCCTCCACAGTAACTGGGATTACAGGTACACACCACCACACTGGCTAATTTTTGTATTTTTAGTATAGACAGGGTTTCACCATGTTGGCCACGCTGGTATCAAACTCCTGACCTCGTGTGATCTGCTTGCCTAGGCCTCTCAAAGTGCTGAGATTACAGGTGTGAGCCACCACACCCAGCCAAAACACTTTTTTTCTTTTAAATTAAGGTTACTACATTTGTATATCTTTCTGTGTATGCTTTTAAAGTTTTTGTGACATTGAGTTACAAGGCTTTGACTCCTGTATCTAAAAAGGACACCAAGTCCTGCTAAATCTTAAGCATTGATAGCGATTAATGCCTCATCTTTAGGCCTGATAGAAGATGCCAATCAAAGTAAAATGTGTTCCTGAGACACAGGGTCAGAAATTAAAGCTATTTCAACTCCTTGAGACCCAGGGACTACTGTGGAAGAGGTAGGCATGTGAGATTGTAAGGGTTGACTTTGAGAGATAAAATAAGTTCAGATTCTCTATAAATTAACCATAAATGTCAAAGGCACACTGATGTAAGACCAGCATATGGGCCCCTGTGGCAGATTAACAAGGTTTTCTTAAAGCACTAACTGACTCCTTAATAAAGGTTATAAAGGTTATAAAAGGCCTATGGAAGTTATATCTTATGGTTAAGATTAAAATTTTATAGATCGTTTATAACATTCTGAAAAACAAATTTAATTGGCTTAATGCGATTTTATTAGGACTTATTGTTTGGAAATTTGTCTCCTCTCTGAAAGAATGAAGGTTTTCACCTTTTTTGGAAATCCTTGAGTTATCACTTTGGTTAAATGAATGACTTATTTGACAATGACCTGTGATCCTATTTTGTGATATCAAGTGTTTTATACCTTTGGTATTTGACAAACTTTTGAAAATCAAATTATAAATTATGTCTCTTTCTGACCTAGTTAATTCTTTAAAATATGAGGTTCTCTAAAATCCAAAAATGACATATTTGGCTTATTTGGTATAAAAATTATACAGGAAGCGTTGTCAAATAGGAAATGGTGTTTGGCTTTCTTTGGGCTGTATTTGTATAAATATGTTATTGGTATGTGTTCCAAAATTATGAGAAACTCCTATAATTCTGATATGACTTAGTATATATTATCAGCAATAATTATAATTGTTGTGTAAGATAATATATGTTAAATTATTGTGTATTACAGAGGTAAGAAATTTCCTTGTCTATTGTGTCTTTGGCTATAGCTGCCCTAAAACTTTTTGTCATCCATGGACAATTATTGTCTTGTTTTGGCCCTCTTTAGAAAGTGGTTTTATAATCAGCTATAAAGCTCTAACAGGTATTCTTGAATGCAGATTTCTGATAACTTTGGAGATTGTGACAGCAGAATAGAGGGAAAACTTTCTGTAATCATGGAGAGCCGAAATATTCATGAATATCAAGCACAACAGGAATTAACTGCATAGACTGAACTAGTAGAAGACTGAAGTAATCCTTTTGACTTTTTGCTTAAAATGTGGCTGATCCTTTGTTTCATTTTTCTGAGTCAAGGAAACTTTTCTTTTGAGGTATTGACAGGTTTTAATAATTAAATACACTGTACTTCTATGAAAGAAATTTGGAGCATATTTGTTTCTCTCTATCTGATTTCTTCAGAATTTAGAAAATATGTGTGAGTGTTCTTAACTTATGGAAATACAGTTATTTACATAAGTGCAATAAGAATCTGTTTTCATTTGTAACAGACACAATTAGAGAAACTAATTATTTTACCAAGGCTTTCACTGGAATAGTGTGCTTTCCTTTAAGGAATCAAACTTTACTTACAGAGCCAATGAAAGCCCCTTGGGAAAACTGGCCTCATACCTTGTTTTCACTGTCCTGGTACAGGGTTCCTGACATGGGATAAGTAAAGAATATCACTTTCTGACAGGCCAAGGAGCCCCAAGTCATCTTGTGACCTCAAGAAGAAAGGAATTCACCCAACTTATAGGTATTTGATGGTACAAATCCACGGCTGGGCTCAGCTTTAAAAAAGTCTTATCTGAGACTCCTTCTATAGAACAAAGTTCCATCAAAACCAATTTAAAAAGCCCATGTGAAAAATAATTATTCTTTCTGCACCTTATAGAAGTAATCTAGCCAAGTATAATAAAGCAAATTGGTACTACCATAATTTGACTTTAAAATGGGAAATTGGAGAGAAAAAAATATGTTTCAAAACTACAGTATACCTTTTGTTGATTCTAGTCTTGCCTAATATTTTTCAATTTTTATTATTTTCTGTAGTTTGGATTGAACTCTAATTTTCCCTGGCTACAAGTCTCCAAAATAATGTTTTCAATTTTTTTCTTCCTTTTTCTTCTTTTCCTTTTCCCCTCAATTTTTCCTAATTTGAAATCACTGAAAACTAAGTTGTGTTTTCTTAAAGCCATGTGAACTGAAACTAGACAACTTAGCTTCAGAAGACAATAATAGCAACCTGTTTACATACATAAGCCAACTCTCATACCTGCCTACTGATGTATGGACTTCAGAGTAATGTGGCCTATATCGATTTTCCAGGATTATTCTTTTGTTTGTTGTTGTTTTTCTTCCTTTCCCTGCTTATTTTCTCTTCATGGGACATAAGGCTTCACAACCTGCTAAAAATGAGTTTTCCTAATAACTCGGGCCCTACCTATCTGGGAAAAAACTGTCCTAGCCATGAGAGATTAGATGAAACCTGAGACCAGAGACTCCTTTTCTTCTAAAATGCTTTTTCCAAAAGATTGTAAAAAGAAAAGGAGGGAAATGTGAAAGGAAAATAAATCTTGGGGCCTCCAACTCACTAAGCTAAAGGGAAAAGTCAAGCTGGGAACTGCTTAGGGCAAACCTTCCTCCCATTCTACTCAAAGTCACCCCCCAGCTCACTGAGATAGACACATATCTGATTGACTCTTTTGGAAAGGTTAATCAGAAACTCAAAAGAATGCAACCATTTGTCTCTCACCTACCTGTGACCTGGAAGCCCCCTCCTTGCTTCGAGTTGTCCCACCTTCTGGACAGAACCAACATACATCTTACATATATTGACTGATGTCTCATATTTCCCTAAAATGTATAAAACCAAGCTGTACCCTGACCACCTTGGGCACATGTCATCAGGACCTCCTGTGGCTGTGTCACAAGGCTGAGGATGTGCATCCTCAACCTTGGCAAAATAAACTTTCTAAATTAACTGAGACCTGTCTCATATTTGGGGCTCACGGAGTAGGCATTTATACATATTTATAAATCTTTCTCTTCTCTTTTGTTTTTTTGTAAGTCAATCCAGCTTTGAAAATGTAGGACCTCAAAGGTTAAAGTGTGATTAAAGTTAGGGAATGTAACAAACAAGAGACCCTTGATTTAAGAGAGGCCCTTAAAACAAGGTCAGCTCCCTTCAGGACTATTTGCTGGACTCTAAGAACAAAACACTGCTCAGGGTTGGAATAAACATGATTTCAAATGGGAGAACACCTCTTCAGAGAACAGCATTGTTTGCCAGTGGGAAAGATCAGATACATAGATATTCCTCCTCCTTCGGTTTCAGGTAGTTTACTCAAAAACTGATAATCTGATGACCTTTACTTTCACAACATAATAATTTATGTACCCCAATGCATACCAAGTCCATTGTCACATATGATCTTTCTAGATTTCCCTTGGCCCTGTCAATGTGGTATACTAACCCAGGTTCCCCAAACTGCCAATCACACCAATTTGTCAACATGGACTATGGTTAGAAGAAGCCCATCAGTTCTGGACTATCAGGGTCTAAATCCTGCCTGTTCCATTTCCTACCTGTTCTGTCTTGGCCAAGTTGATGTCATTTTAAAACGTGGATGGTAATAATACCAATCCATTAAATTTTTTGAGGATTAAATGACTTAATACATTACCTGGCAGATAATAAGTGCTCAACAAAATTAGCTATTGTTTATCAAAGACTGTCAGGGAATTGAGGCTTATGAGCTGAGAAACTTTTCTTTGTTCAAGAATTCCCCCTTCTGCCTTCCATAAATATTCTTGCATATCAAAGGTAATATTTGAGGTCAATTTTTAGAAGATTTTAGTCTAGCTAAACCCAAGTTCTATATAAAGTTGAGTCAATTCAGGATTCTGCTGGGTTTCAGAGCTGATTCAAAACACCATTTCCCCTTGGAAGCCTCTCCGGCTATTCCACATTGTGTGGTGAGGTCCCATTCTGGTTGCCCACTGCCCATTGGCCTAAGCTTTACATGTTGCCAGTTCATTTACATGATATTTTATATTGCTTTTTCTTCATTGCATCTGAATAAATCTTTTATTCTAGATTATTGAAGGCAATATATACTCAGATTGGTTTTTTAAAAAATAATGAACGAATTTATTTCTTTGTGTAATCCAAGGTTGGCATATAAAGGGAAGATTGTGTGGTGTGATTTTTAAAAATGTCTAAGTGTTGAAGTCAACTTGCCTGCATTTTAGGCTTGGGTCCTTTCCTTATTTGCTCTGCGATCCTGTACAGGCTCTCTAAACTCTCTGAACCTTGATTTCTTCATCAATCATATGAGAATCATTGAGAGGCATTAAGTGGTATAAAGTACATGCCGAATTGCCTGAGCCAAAGGAGGTACTATCCCTTCTCTCTGTCAGTTAGAAAACTCTAAGCTCCATCCACCCCTTTGGTCCTTAATCAATTGACAGAACGACCTAGTGATCAGTTAGTTTCTGATACCTTTTTGAACTAGCCTTGAAATTTGGTTGGATTCTTTTTTTTTTTTTTTGAGATGGAGTCTTGCTCTGTCACCAGGCTGCTGGAGTGCAGTTGCACGATCTTGGCTCACTGCAACCTCCACCTCTTGGGTTCACGCCATTCTCTTGCCTCAGCCTCATGAGTAGCTGGGGCTACAGATGGATGCCACCATGTCCAGCTAATTTTTGTATTTTTTGTAGAGATGGGGTTTCACCATGTTGACCAGGATGGTGTTGATCTCTTGGCCTTGTGATCCACCTGCCTCAGCCTCCCAAAATGCTGGGATTACAGGCATGAGCCACTGCACCCTGCCTGGTTGGATTCTTAAGATCTTCTTTTCCTTTTTTGAATTTCAACTTTTATTTCAGATTTGGTGGATACATGTGCAGGTTTGTTACACAGGTGTCTTGCATGATGCTAGGGTTTGGAATACAATTGATCCCATCACCAGGTAGTGAGCATAGTATCCAATAGATATTTTTTCAATTCTTGCCCTCCTACCTCTCTCCCAGTAGTCACCAGTGTCTACTGTTGCCACATTTATGTCCATGAGTACCCAATATTTAGTTCCCACTTCTAAGTGAGAACATGGTGTGTGTATATATATATAAAAACTCCTCATCTGTCTATCAGAAAACATCTCTGAGCAGGGGTTCTTAACCTTGGGCACACACACAGACTTCAGGCTTCTGTGAGCTCCCCAGATTAGAAGCCAAATCACATGCCTATGCATTTCTTCAGGGGAGAAGTTGACCTACAGCTTTCATTTTATGTATATACCAGAACCCTCTTTCCCACTTTCCCTCTCAGCAAAAAACAAACCAACAAACCAAAATGAAAACCTTAAGAACCATATCTCGATGCTCCAGGTCAATTTCCACCCCAGCCATCAGGGCCTAGCTTTCTATAATAGCCATCCGGATGGAGCTGTGCCTACTAGCCTATCCCTTCATGGACCAATATTCTCCCACAATCTCACCAGTTTTTATGTCAACATGTGGTTCTTCTTTGCCAGGCACAGTTGTATGTCATGGACAGGCACAGAACATGCAGACATGGCTCATCCAGCCTATCTTCGACTGTTCTTCCAGCTGACTTAGGCTCCTGCTGAGCACCTGTCTTGGAGAAACCCTGCTATGGGCCCTGTGTGGGCCCTACTAGGTGTCCAAAGATGGCAGTCCATCAGGCCTTCTCTGGTTGAAAGTTTTCTGCCAAGATTCCCATCAGGAGTTCTATTTTGCATGGGGACATCATGGAAAGTCTCCACAGGGGTCAAACCATCTTTCTTGGGGGAAGGTCTGAGCCCTTTTCACAGCTTGGTTATTCTCCCTCTGAGAAACATGGCCACACTACAGCCCCTTTGGGCACTGAGCCTAATCTACAGTAGGAGTTTCCTTCCTTCTTAGCAGGGAGCACAGTCTAAGCAAACAGGCTCCCTGGGGAATGATGGATAGAACTGTATGCTGCCCTCTACTCATAGCTCCCTTAATTCCACTTTCCCTGCCCCCTAAGCTTGTGGGATAGGAGCCACATGGACCTATAATCATTTAATTACCTTGTTTCCTAAGCTCTTCTCTTTATAGGGAAACATCAAATAACACCCCTACCCCCAACCATGCCTGATTCTTTATTTATGAAGATCCTGGTTCTCCTCTAATGTGCTTCTACACTGTCCCAGGCTTTGGAATGTTTATAAATGGCTCAGTGCATTTGCTGACAATGCCTTCATGCATGTGTTCTTCCTCTTGGCAGACCCTCTCTGACACAGCCTTTAGACCCAACTAGTTTCATGTTGCGTGGTACTTGCGGGGAGGGCAGTAGGAGACTGGTGTAGCCAAGTGACTCTATCTGATGGCTTCTGTGATCTCTAAGCTCACCCAAGTCTTTACTTCCTTAGTCCTTTTTTGTCTTTCAGTCCCATGATGAAAGCTTTCCTGGAGAAGTCCAGCTTTGATACCTGCACTGCTGACGTCTACTCTGCTGGGAAAAATGGCACACTGAGTCTGGAGATAGTGAAGTGCCTTTTGTATTCACTCCCATCCCTCTAACTGCTCTGTTCTCCTGCCCAGTTGCTTACTCAATATGAGGAGCATAGCAGCGCTAGGCTCTGGAAGAGAGTAGGCAAATATGGCAATAGAAAATGCTAACAGCAGCAGATGGCAGGACAAGTTTCCTTTAGATTCACATGAGCAGTTGTTTTTTTCTGGTGGGCTTTTATTATTAAATTTATTTTCATCATTTGGCTAGATAAGCCTATCTTTGTACTTAGTTATGGTGTGCCGGAATCATCTTGCTTTTAATATTTGAAAAAAAGAGCTGTATATCATACCAATTATAAATACAACTACATGGCCTCATGTGTAATTGTCAACTCAGTTACATGGATTGTAGCCTTTGTGTTTGGAGGGAGTGAATGCTCACTTTATCCTAAAGAGTTGATAGAAGCCTAAAAGCTTAGAAACTTACAAGAAATAATCACTTGTATGGCTTTTCTTCAGGGGCCAAAAAATATTGGAACTTTACTTGATTTCAAACATATTATCCTTATCTAAGGCCTGGAGGTCCTGGATCTAAGCCCTATTTTACAAGTATTCAAAGCTGGCACTCTTTTCTTAATGCCATCACTTCTACCCTTGCAGATTTTTAATTTTTTATTTCTAACTTTCAATAAGAGGAAGCAAAGGTCAGCAGGTTCTTTGGAAATTAAATTTAAATGATTATTACACCTTAAACCTGCCCTCCTGCCCCCCCAAGGAAGAATTCTTCACCCCCATGTTAGCAGCAGCAGCAGCAGCATCTCCATTATTGCTCATCTTCCTTCTCTGTAGCTCTTGCCATCAGTGTTGATTAATTTCATAAGTAGCAGAAATGACATAATACAATATATTTCTGACAATTCCAGACCAGGAATCCTAGACTCATAAAATTCCAAGGATACAAAGGAACACCAGGAGGTCATCTAACCCAATCCTCTGCTTTCCAGGAAAGAAGTGTTCAAACCATACAGAATGAATTTATTTTCCAGCAAAATATCCTTTGTGATGAGAGGGATAGTGAAAGAATAATGGACATAAACAGGAAGTTAAAATGAAATGACTCTTCTCTTTTCACAGGATCTCTAGTTAGTAGTAAAGGACCATGAGTGCTGGGGAAAAAGGCCATCATAGATAATTTTGTGAACCCAGTGATAATCTTTCTATTGAAGAGAGATGTGCCGTGAACCTGATTATTTTTCAAAGAACTGTCATTTTCCCAAGAGCTGGCATTTTCAGCCTCTTGAAGAGCACCAACCACTGTTATCACAGCTCAAACTTGAGCAATCAATCAGGGGTTTGAAACATTAAACTGGAATATATAATTTCAACAGGGATAATTTTAGCAAAATTCATCCTGAGCTAAAACAGCTTTAGTTAGCCCAGCTTCAACAAGGGGGCCATTGCCTGGCTTTTCTTGGCACTGGCAGCCCCTCCCTGCACTCACCCCACCTCCTCTACAGCCAGAGGAAAGGACACAGCAGGCCATGGGTTTATAATAAGATTTGGAGGGGCTGAGCTTGGCTGATTTACCAGGAGGTAGGTTGATGCCCAAGACGGTGCCCACTGGGAAGCTGCAAGTTGTGAGTAGGGGGATAACAGCTTGAGAAGTACCATTAAATGTCTTCCCATACATTTGCCCACAGTAGAATTTTTCTTCCACAGAAAACACTTTGACATTCTATTGGAATGGAAAGCAAGAGTTTATAAGCATTTTACAATGTCAGGATTTTTACTAGTCAATCTACAAATAGGTAGCATTTTGCCTCTTTGCTCTTCCCTCTCCTGCTTGCACACTATGTTCCTGAGGACTTTTCCTCTCTCTGGCAAGAGGCTACCAAAGAAGCTGGCTCAGCCCCTCCCAATACTCCAGATTCAACAGGCAGCTGTAGTCAGACTCAGTCAAACCAAAGAACTTGCTTAATTGGTGATTTCTGCTGATGTCAGTGGTGGTGGTGATAAGGATAATATTGGGAATAATGATGATGCTAGATGACAAAGGTCATGGGTTTGAAGGAAGAGTGGTGTTTTTGCTGGTTTTAAAGTTTCTACACACTTAATTACAATTTAGGATTTTCATGCTGAGTGTGAATCAGGGTTCAGTTAAACAAATCAGGATTGTTAGGTAATGACAGGAGACAATGGGTAGAAGTCATCTGAAGCACCTTGAGAGAAAGAGGGCTGAGGAAGTAAAGCAGTTTATGCAATATCCACTATGCGCCAAGCTTGCTTATTCTTGCTCTCTCCCTCTCACCACTCTGTATAGGGTTATATAGGCAAAAGGCAGTAAAAAGACACCTAAAGACATAGAGCCTTTAATGACACTATTTAGGCTGTTGATTAAATGCTCTGAAACTCACTGTGTCTTTGGGCTATTACATGAGTTAAATATCCCCTGTGTATTTTAACCCAAAGGTCATATTTTATAAATGATAAAAACTGAGATTTTTTAAGCCAGGTCTTTGACTTCGGGATGCAATCCCTTTTTATGAGAGCAAACGCTCTCCTAAGTGATTAAAATAGTTAAATTTTATGTACAATGCAATACACAGACACACACACATATATATGTAGATCACTGCATTTAATCATTTCATTATCATAATAAGTTTAGAACTGGTATCATTTTTATTTTACATACAATAAGTGTGAACAAGAGAAGTTAATTAATTTGAAATGATTGTTAGTTGCAGGGCCAAGCACTTACAAGGATTGAACACTAGTGTCAGGGTTGGTCCTTGAAAGATCCATGCCAGTCAGGACATGCCCTTCACCTTAGTGACTGATTTTGGTGACCCAGATCTAAGGCACTCATGGCATTCCCCTTGGCCTCAGAGAGTGGTTCAAGAATAGGCAAATGGTCCATTTAAGCAGGAAAAACCACAGAGAGAGGCCTGTTTGGGAGGTTCTCAGAAAGAAGCATCTCCATTTCTCTGCAATACTCAGGTGTGATATGCAGATGTGAAGCCTGAAACTAATGCAGCCATTTGATCTTATAAGATAAACCCAACTGGCAATGAAACTGACACTGCAGAAGGCAGAGAAACGAGACCTAAAGACATAGAGCCTTTAATGACACCATTTAGGCTCTTGATTAAATGCTCTGATTCTCACTGTGTCTCTGGATTTTCCATTACATGAATTAAATATCTCCTGTATAGTTTAACCCAAAGGTCATAAAACTTGTAAATGGTAAAACTGAGATTCTAAGCCATGTCTTTGACTTCAGGATCCAATCACTTTTCTATGACTGCAAATGCTCTCCTAAGCGATTAAAATAATTAAATTTTATGCACAATGCGATAGAAAATTAACTTCAGCTCCTCAGCAGGGAAGTAATCTGATCAAAACAATGGGTGAGACAGATGGCCCTGATTTGGGTGTTCAGAGTTAACTGGGGAAGGACAGGAAGGAAGGTAGAGGAATTATCTTAAAGTCATTGTTGCAGTGTTCTGGGGATTTGCTACAACAAATTCATGTGTGTCTTCAATAAGTATTTGAGCACTTACCCTGTGCTAGATACTAAGAATATAGTGTGACAAAATAGACATGCTCCCTGCTTATATGAAGTTATAGTCAGTCTGGAGCAGTGGTTGTCAAACCATGACCCTTGAGCCAAATACTGCTGCTGCTTGTTTTTGTAAATAAAATTTTATTGGAACATAGTCATGGTCATTACTTTATGTATTATCTGTGACTGCTTTGCACTACAATGTCAGAGCTGAGTAGTTGCTGCAGAGAATACATGGCACACAGGGCCTGAGATATTTATTATCTGGCCCGTTACAGAAAAGGTTTGCTTATCATTAGAGGGAGGAGACAGACATTGATCAGATTGGATCATACATTTGTAAATATTGGGTGATAGATATAATCTATCTATTATATCTAATATATCTATTATATATAATATCTAATATATATTATAAATATTGGGTGATATAAGCTATCACCCAATATTTAGATTGTTATAGATTATAGATTGTTATAGATCAGATCTGATTGTGATAACTGAAGTACCTGAGGAAGAATGAGCTGAAGGTACTAATCTGGGTGGGGGAGTTCACTTCTTGGAGGAAGTGATATGTGAGCTGGGGTAATAAACGAGTAGGAATCAGCACTGTGAATGCTAGAGGAAGAGTATTCCCTGCAGGGTGTGTGAAGCCTGGAGATGGGAAAGAGAACATTGGAATAGGTCAAGGAATCGAGAGAAGGGTGATGTGGCTTGAGCATGGTGAATATGGAGGAGTGTGTCAGGGGTGAGGCTGGGAGTAACCAGGTCAGATCACGGAGAACCTTATAGGCCATGATAGGCCATCTGTGTTTTCTCTACATGGAGTGGAAAACCATTTCACTCATGGGAAGCTCAACTTCATCATTTATCTTTAATGAAGAAGAAACTATATATATATTTTAATATTCAGTATTTTTGGTCTGTTGTCTTTCAACAGTTTTGGCTCAGTAAATAAAAATGAAATAAAAAAACTTTTTATAATATATACAGTCAGCCTTCTGTATGCATGGTTCTACATCCGCAGATGCTACTAGCGATAAATTTAAAATATTTGGGAAAAAACAATAAAAAACAATAGTACTACAATAAACATAATATGAATAAAATACAATATAATAGCGACTTACAGAGCATTTACATTGTATTAGGTATTAGGTATACAGGAAGATGTGCATAGGTTATATGCAAATACTACACCATTTTATATCAGAGACTTGAGCATCCTCAGATTTTGGTATCTTTGGAGAAGGAGGGTGGGGGATTCTGGAACCAATCCCCATCCAATATGGAGGAACAACTATAATTTTTACATCCCTATATATTTTTCAAGGATAAGGGCAACACATTATGATGGACTTCTCTATTATGGGTAGATGTAAGATAGGAAGGAATTTAGAGCATTACAGGGGATGCTAATTAAGTGATGATATAGTGGCAGTTATAGAAAACACTCTCTAGACCATGCTTATAAAAAGAGGAGTACTTCTCTTTGTTGCTGCTATGTCTAACCCAACCTCTGTTTACTCAACCAATAAAGGGAGTGTGGAAGGATGGTGTCGAGGGAGGACCCCTGACTTCTTAGAAACAGCAACCTTCTGTTCATGCTCAGAATAGATGGCATTGGCTGGTCCACCTGGCCAAAGACAGGGGAAATTTGCAGTGGGTCCAGAAGCAGCATGGTGGGACTGAGAGCATGGAGGTTGGCAGAGTCGAATCCTGTTCTCTTCTGTCTTGAGACTCTCTCCCAGGGGGCTCCATGGCTCCATCCAGAATCTGTAGGGAGATGAGCTACAAATTTCTATCTCCACCTTAGAGCTCTTTGTTTTAACCTTCTAACCTATACATCCAAATGCTGCTTGGTATGCTGTCTTGGATGTCTCAAAAGCAGCTTAAACTCAACATATCCTTAAGTCAAGTTAATAGAACAAGCTGCTACCTGCACAGGTGGACAGCTCCCCTCAGGATGAGGCACCAAGATTGACTTTCCAACTCTTCAGCACCCTCTCCTTCCCCTTTTCTCTGCCACACATCTTGCCTGTTATTGTGCTTTGACCCCCTCTATTAGCTGACTAAAAGCTTTACTGGCATAATATCCCTTATTTTCATCCTGCTTCTTTTGACTCCCTATTGTCTTCTACCTTAAGAAAAATCAAACTGCTCTGGTGTTTTTCTCAGACCACAGCTACTGCTCTCGATAGACCTGATTACTGCCAAAAATGTAATGACTGTTCCTTTAGCAAATTCACAAGGTAGATTTCCTTCTACAGGTCCATTCTGATACATAAATTTCCCTCACATTATTAATCTCAAACTTTGGTCTTATAAAAATTGAACTTTGACACCACTTCAATACAGTGTCGCTGCTGAAGTAATGAAAACCTGATTGGCAGAAACCTCCTCTTGAGGAATGGAAAGAATATTGGGGCTCTCCTTGCTACAGTGGTCTGCTTGTTCTCTTCAGTGACACAACTGCTTGCTTTTCAGAAGTTGTTGAAACTCCATTCAAAGAATCTTCCCACCTGGAGAGAGAAAAAAACAAGTCTTATTCCTGTTGTGATAAATTCCCAGAGTAGGAATAGTATAAGTAGAAAGGGTGGTCTCGAACTTATCTATGACCCTATAGGATATCATGAATGATACAACTTCTGCTCTGGAAGCCCAACTAAACAGTTTACATTTAGATTCATTAGCTAATGTTATCATGAGTAATCACGTAGGTCTTAATTTCCTCTTAGCTAGCCAAGGGGAAATTTATGCTGTAGCAAACACTTTTAGCTGCACCTAGGAAGAACAATCTATAATTAGGCTAAGAAAAAACCTCTTGGATCTCTAGAAAAGACCATTTGAAATCTGGGACATGTTTTCATTGCCTGGGTTTCATAATCTAGGTCCCTGTCTTCAGGGCCTATTACAAGAACTAATAACCATTTTTGTTTCTGTTTCTGGTAACTGCCTGTGTTGCAGTGGGCTGATGTATCTTGCCAAGAGTCATAAATGCTACTGTGCAGCCACCGTCTTGTCAGATGATAAGCAACTTGTCCTTCAACAAAGGGAACAAACCTGGTCCCATACCTGTGGGGTATAGACCACATGGCTGGTACAACCACCTAACCAGCAAAAACTCAGCAACGGTGAGACATGAACATTCTAGATGAATACCTTGCAGCTTAACCTTTTCCGCCTTTGGACAAAAGGGTGGCCTGAGAGTGAGAAAAGTAGCCCTGACGGCAAGGAACTTAACTGGTTTTATGCATTAGGCTGTCACTTTTCTAGGCACGTCCAGTTATTTACAGCTAGGCTGTGGTGTTCCCTTGCGGCACATAAACAATGTCAAAGCACGCCAACATCAGGTGAGGCCACTCAGACGGGACAAAAACAGGATCCAAAAGCATAATCGTCCTTAACACAAAAATGAGCAAACATCACCTCCTCCTGGATACACATGCCTGTTTTATCTTTACCAGTCATAATCACAACTTCAGCTTCATTCAGCCATCTGGGTAAGAATTACGAAGATACCCAATTATAGAAAGATCCCTGCTTCCCGACAGCATGCAAAGCAGAGCAAACTCCCATTTCCTTGTATCATCTCCAAATCACCTAATAGAAGCCTGAGTTCTGTAATAAGTCCCTCCTAGCAGTCTCTTTCTGAGATCTTCTATGCTTCCCCACTGTGTGCATTCATTCTCTCTTGTTGCAACAAGTCAGCATGCCTGATCTTATTCAGCTGCAGGCCTGCACTTGCTGGTCTTTGGCTGAAAGGCATCAACATTTTCTTGTACTATGTCACATCTCAGTAAATGTTACTGTCACCTCTTCCATTCTAATAAATATACAGAGATCAAGAAGTCACACTTGACATCTTCCTCTTGGCCCCATCCTCCATCAATAAAAAAGTCCTAATGTTTTTACCACATAAATAGGTCTCATAACCATTTCCTTCTCTGTCTTTAAAGCAACCTTAGTGGTCCAAGCTACATGCATCCCTCATTTTGTCTACTGTAATCATCTTTTAACTGGTCTTCCTGTAGCCCCCTTGACTTTCTTCAACCTCTTGTTTTCCACACTGCAGTCAGAGTTTTTATTTCTAATGGGAAATTTTAAAACAGTCATTCTCATGTTGAAAGTGCTTTAACACTTCCAAATGCTCTTAAAATAAAGACACAATCACTTAACATGGCTGACAAGGCCACAAGAAGTCTGGCCAGTTCTTGCTTTTTCAGCCTCATCGTATGCTATCCCCACCTCTTTCTATTCCAGCCACATTGGCCTTCTGTCATTTCCTTGAACACCATGTGCTTTTGGCTACTGTAGGGTTTTTGCACATGGCCTCTCTCTGGAAATTCACTCTTCTCCTCCTTTGGTTAATAAACTTTTCTTCACTTTCCAGATCTCAGTTCACCTGTATCTTAGGGTAGCCTCCTTTACCAACCTGAGGAAATCAGTTCATCTTGTTTACAGCTCGTTGCACCATGCATCTCTCTGTGGTAGCTCTTTTAAAATTTGTATTGGTTTGATTCTTTGAGTAATCCTTATCTCCCCCGGAAGACTCCTTGCTCTTAGTAGGTGCTTAATAAATGTTTTTGAAGTGAGTGACTAGTCTCTGTTCTGCTGCTGGGAAGCTGCATCATTTTGAACACGTTATTTAACCTTGTTATTTGTATTAGTTTGCAAGGGCTGCCATAAGAAAATAGCACAAACTGGGTGGCTTAAACACAGACATTTATTTTCTCACAGCTCTGTAAGCTAGAAGTCCAAGATTAAGGTGCCATCAGGGTTGGTTTCTGATGCAGGTTCTCTTCTAGGCTTGCAGGTGGTGCCTTCTCCCTAGGTCTTCAGATGGCCTTTTCTCTGCGCGGATCAGGGGAGACCTACAGTGTCTCTTCCTCTTCTTATAAAACACCAGTCCTACTGAATTAAGGCCTTGCCATTATGACCTCATTTAATCTTAATTACCTCCTTAAAGGCCGCATTCCAAATATGGTAAGTAACATTGAGAGTTAAAGCTTCAACATGTGAATTTGCGGTGGGGGAACACAATTCAGTCTGTGGTATCAGCCTTCAAATTCTTTGTCTGTATGAAGAATAATTATGCAGGCCTGCTCCTGGCAAGATGTTTTAATGGCAGAATTAGACAATGAATGTTAAAGCTCCTTCAGACATAAAGTGCTAACCCATGGAATGGGGTAGGAGTGCACTGTTTGACCAAGAAGGACTGTGATTAATGCCCTTTCAGTGTTGAAAACATTTATAGGTAAAAAAGCCCATGCTGGGATGGGGGTAAGGATTGTTTTAGATCAACATTAGAAACATTTTTCTCTAATAGGTAGAGTCAAGGTGTTTGATAATGAGCTAGGATTCTTGGAATTGTTAGTCCCCATGTCTGGATGGCTCTTGCAGGACATTCTATGGGCTAGGAGGCTGGACCAGGTTTCTTCTAAATTCTTTTCTCCCTTGAAGCTTTGTTCCTTGTGCTGTGTTACAGGTTGCCTTTACCTCACCAGGAATGGGCCCTGAGCTCATCTAATTTGACCATGTATATGAGAAGTCAGCAAACTACTTCTGAAAAGGACAAGGTGGTAAATAAATATTTTAGTCTTTGCAAGCTATGTGCTCTCTTTTGCAGCCACTTAACTCTGCCATTGTGGCACAAAAGCAGCTTTAGACACTACATAAACAAATAAGTGTGGCTGAGTTTCAAGAAAACCTTATCTATAGACACTGAAATCCAAATTTCATATGATTTTCATGTGTCACAACATAGTATTCTTCTTTCGATTTTTCTTTTCAACTATTTAAAAATGTAAAAATCATTCTTTCCTGGTGAGTCTGCAAATATGCAGTGCATTGGATTTGACCTAGGGCCGTAGTTTGCCAATCTTTGATGTATATCGTTAACTCTGAACCTGAAATATCATTAATTTCCTGGCTATCCTTAGACCACCAAACTACCTTGATTTTCAGGCATGGTTGGAAAAATCTAATCTTCTCTAATTTGACTTACTGGCTAGACAGAACATTTACTTTATTGTTTCCATAAGTTTCATTTTACTACTGGCTGTGAAAAAATTTCTTATCCCTTTGCCAGGTTATAGCAGCTGACGCTAGGCTCTTAAGCCAAACCTGGCCTTTTCCACATTCCCTCTGCTTCTGGCCAACCCTAATTCTGCCATATTCTTGGAGTCCCTTAGCTGCTGCCAATGCCAAGCCCCCAACCTGTAAACCAGCCTCTTCCAATAAGTATTTCCAACCTCTAGATTTTAAAAATACCCCAGTGCCACATGTAGATTCAATTACAAAGCACAGACATGCATCTAGAAGAAGAGAAGGGCAAAAATTGACTGATGTTCCACCAGCAGCCCTTAGGCCACTTGGCAAGAATGACTCCATTCAATTTAAAGATTGTGTTAAATGACAGTGTCTCATTTTCCCAAAGATCCTTAAATTAGAGGGTACGAAGGCTTCTTCAAATGCCTGACCAGACATAATTCTGCCATGGATGTTTTTAGTGCTGGCAAATCATCTAGTGATCGGGTCAAGAGATGTATGGAACCTTGATCTCTGCATTTTCTCCTGGCTATGGAATGGTTAGCTCTGTACTCAAACTGTCCTCTCCTTAATAGATATGAGACTGGTTAGGGAATGTCACAGGTGCCTAGAAATGAACACCTATGGTTCATGATATGTGCTGTGCAATGGAAAAAAATAGAATTGCTTCTAGCTGGCCAAAGGCATATAGAATATTCCGGCTCTAGAGCTTACATGTTGCAATTTTAGTCTCAGGGCTCTTCTAAAGAAAACTATCACGTTTGTTTATTGATCAATCTTTATTTATTATATCCCACGTTTAATGTTCTACAAAGCTACCAATCACGTGGCTGCACGCCCATATCCTATTTAAAAAGTGCCAATTTATGTTACCAATGTGTGTGTCCATCCCAGGTAGCACAGTTACAACAAATGCCTGGAGAATTCCTGAAGCAACTCTTTTCCAGTCATACCTCTACGACTCATTCATTCATTCAGTCTTTCGTTCATTCCATCCAGCAATAATCCTGACTTACATATTGTTTTCATTATTTTTACGCATGTTTTGGTCATTCACCCATTGCAAGAGAAGTACTAGACACTAGGGATAAAAAAGATAAACAGACATAGGCCCATGTTAAAAAAATACTCTGCATATTTAGTTGTGGGGGAGTAAGGCATTTACAAAATGTGTTATTTTAGTGTGGAAAATGGCATAGCAGAGGTATGGACTGGGAGCTTTAGGACTAGTCAGGAAAGCAATGGAAGTTTGGAGGCAGGGTAGGTTATGGAAAGCTTCAGAGGTGGCATAAGGACGGGCTATGAAGAATGAGTGGTCCACCAGGGAGAAGATGAGAAAGAACATTCTAGGCAAAGTAGGCAGCACAACCCCCTTACTATTCCCAGAACATGCTTTCTTTTCTACAACCAGGCTGAATCGTATCCTCACTTTGCCTGTAACTCTCTCATTTCATTCGGACTCTCATCTTTCTTTGTATACCTTTTCTCTCTGGGCTGGCATACAATGAGCTAGGAGTAACTAGTGGCAGACAAATGTTATATATAGGAAGGGGCTTAAAAGCCAAGCTAGCCATTTTGTCTTATAGTAATGGATAGGTTTCTAAGTAGAGACAAGTCGATGTGAGCAATATTTTAGAAGGGTTTGCATGGCCATGGCATAACATGGTTTAGAAGCTGGGTATGAAAGTCACCTAGGATGCTATGTTGGTGATGTATACATTCTGCCTCCCATAGAACTGTGCAGGCTATATTTTGAGGGAGCAACCAGCCCAAAGTGGGCGTCTGGCCCCCGGTGGAGGAAGAGTATCTGCATACCCCCACTATAGTTCTGATAATGACTGAGAACCAGGCAAGGCCTTGGAGGAGAGGCTTAACTTGCAGCTCACTCAGTCCTCCTGAGAAGAGCCTGGAATTACTTAGCAATCAGGGAAATTTGGCCAACATGGCAGATGGGCAGGAGCAACACTCCTGCTTGGCCTGAGGTTGAAAATGAGGTAGGCTGCCATCGTGCTGAGCAGGGACAGGGAAAGCAGAAGCTCACAGGAAGGATGCAGTAAAAGCTGCCAAGGTGAATGTCAAGCAGGGCTAACAGAGTTCCGGAAACCTGAGCCAGCAAGAAGTGATAAGTAGACACAAGGTTCCCTGCAGAACCCTGGCAGATAGAAGAGTGTTATCAGGAAATACCCTTTTCTCACCATGGTGGGGAAATTTGTTACTTGTCTGGTCCAGATATTTCAAAAGCTGGTTCCCTGAAGGCATAATCCAAATTAAGACATCAAGTGATGGCAACTCTGCAACACTTCTGTTGAGCAGATAAATAGGCTCCAAAATGATTTTCAGATACCTGGGAGATAGTGCAGAGAAGTGGGGGTCAGAAGACCTGGCCCTAGCTCAGCTCATCCCTCCATGTTTTTGTGACTTTGAGCAAGCCATTGAACTGGCTGGACCTCAGTTGCCTAATGTATAAAAGAGGTAGTAGAAGAGGCCAGCTAAATCATCTCTAAAATTTCTTTCATTTTGCAATTCAAAACATTGTGATTAAATGTGTGTGTTTTAAAGAAATTAGCAAATTTAAAGTGATGGGAATATCCAAATCACTGTTAGTAGGAACAAAAATTAGTACAACTCATTTGGAAAGCAATTTGGCAATCTATGTTAAGAGCCATTCTATGTTCATAGCCATTGACTCAATAATTTCTTTCCTAGAAAACTATTCCAAAAAGTTTTCTGAAATTCAGAAAGAAAACAATGTGCTTTGTATTATAATTTTTTTTTTTTTTTTGAGATGGAGTCTCGCTCTGTTGCCCATGCTGGGGTGCAGTGGTGTGATCCTGCTCACTTCAACCTCTGCCTCCCAGGTTCAAGCAATTCTTCTGCCTCAGCCTCCTGAGTAGCTGGAACTGCAGGTGTGCTGCACCATGCCCGGCTAATTTTTGTATTTTTAGTAGAGATGGGGTTTCACCATATTGGCCAGGCTGGTCTCATACTCCTGACCTGGTGATCTGCCCACCTCAGCCTCCCATAGTGCTGGGATTACAGGCATGAGCCACCACACCTGCCCTGTACTATGATTTATTTTAAGAGCAAAAATTGTCCAGCAATTGGGGGACAATGATTCATTGACATTCCAAATGGTAGATATTTTTTAGTCATTAAAAAGTAATTATCAAGGCATATTAAATGATGATTTTAAGTAGTAAATAGGGAAATTATTGAATAGGGAAATGTTTATGTTATAATATTTAGTTTTAAAAAAGCAGGATTCCAAGACTAAGATCTCAATGATTTAAAAAGGCATAAACAGACCACAGGAAAATATTAATTTTAAATGTTTGAGAGTATTGATTTAATTTTTTCTCATTGTTCTGTAATATTCTAATAAACATATTACTTTTATTATGATAAAAACTGAAATAAGTCAAGTTTGTGATTACTAGTTGGTCATATATATTAAGAAGCTGTCAGAAAAAAATAGAAATCACCACAATTATAGAACTTCATTTGTTAATATAGAATGAAATTATGTACCATGCAGCTCAGTGGTTGATGGGTTACTGGAAAGCTTCCTGTACTCATAGTCAAAAGCTCTTGATATAAGTTGTAGTTCTTACATAGCCTAGTTGTATGGTCTTGAATAAGTTAGTCCCATCTCTGAATCTTAGGAATGTTATCTGTAAAATAGAAATTAAAAAACATTTATTGAATATCTACCATGTGCTAAATATTTGTGATATGAAATAGTGATATCAATATCACTATTTATTAGCAAAATATGATTTTGCTAATATTTATTAGCAATCATATTTATTAGCAATCATATTTATTAGCAAATCATTTATTAGCAATCATATTTATTAGCAAAATATGATTCATGCTAATAAAAGATTCATCAATAAAAGACACATCAGTAGATGTCTTCACTGAGTCTTTGAACTTGAGCGATGAGTGGGTGTCAGTAATATGACACTTTAGCTAGAGGAAACAGCAAATCCATTATCAGGGACCTCCTCTTGAAATGTTTCATGCAGGGAGGTGGCCTGGCAGCACGGAATAACAGAAAGACCATGGGCATGGTGTCATTGGTCTGTGTTCAAATCCTGACTTAGTCTCTTACTAGCTGTGTGACCTTGGGGAAGTTGCTCAACCTCTCTGTGCCTCAATTTTCTTCACCTTAAAGTGGGGATTCTATTACTTATTTCTCATGAGTATTGTGTGTAGAGACAACTTTTGTAAAGTACTTGATAAAGCAGTGATCCATGTCTTCAACAATTATGTATTGAACGCCCAGTATGTGTTACATGTGGCCACAGAGGCTGAGAATAAACAATAACCAGACAACTTCCTGTGATCTTCCATTTAAAATATGTATTATTATCACTCATAATATAATACTGTTATTGGAAAGAAGTTCTCAGGATTTTCTATGCACCACATTGTCCCATCAGTTTTCATTACTGCTGTGATTTTCATATCAGATCATGGGGGAGGGAGGTAGAGATCACATGCTGATGGAAAATGGCCCACCCGGATACCCTGCTATGCCCTTCCGCCTTCCTGCCGCACTGAGCCTCACTGAGGGGAGAACAGATGTTCCACTGATTGGCTGGGGTGAGGAGGATGGGATACCGCAGTGGCCTCTGGGAAGTGGGATGCTCACAAACCCCTTCTAGCCAAGGATGGCTGTCACCCTGCCCAGAACTGGGGAGGTGGAGGAAGAAATAAGAGCCAGGCAGCAAACTCCTTCCAGAGGGCTCCTTTGAAAAGTGGGGCGGGGGAATAATTATGGCAAATGTTTGAGCAGCCACAGGAGGAGGTGAAGGGGAAGGAGGGGTTGGTGGAGGGGAGAGTCTGGTTAATTATGGAACAGATGCCCAGCAGCACCTTGGGGTGAATGCATTAAGAAGGGGGAACTGTCATCTCATTCTCCCTCTCAGATTTATTCACAGTCTCCTGCGGCACCCAGCTGGGGCTGGTTTAGTGTGGGTTTTGCCTCAGTTGGAGAGATCTGCAAGTTCAAAGCCTTCTCCTTATTTCCAAATGGGATCTCCCTCCAGCCTTCTCTCTCTTCCTTCCCCACTCCGCCTCCCCATTGTGACTCTCCGCACACCCCGCTGTGCTGCCTCTGCCTGCAGATGCTTTCATTGTTTTGCCTGTACTGGTTCAGGAAAGTGGCCTCCCGACCTTCAGGCAAATAGGAGGAGAGGGCTGAGGCTTCTAGGCATCCTCTGCCTTCCCCTGTCTCCCCTCTGCTCCTTGGCCTGGCCATGGCTGGGAGCCAAGTCCAGCCAGCAGGGTCTTCTCGCAGAGGGTGCCTGAGGGAAGGCTTCAAAGCCGAGCATGGTAGACCTGGGGCTTCTGCTTGCAGCCCAGAGATATGTAAATCAGGTAGCAGGGACACAAAGAGCAGAGGCCCATATTCTAACAGTTTGGCTTACAGTACTGTTCGCTATGCAGATACTGCATGGTTTGCACCCTGGCCACATGGTCTTGGGGCCTGAGGCAGAGAGTAGAAAACAAGGCTGGGCCTGGGTTGTCCTGGGTTCTCCTTTCCTGCCCTTCAGTGTCTTTCCCACACCTTTCCTGACTGCATTCTCTCAGGCTGCCGAATGGAGTTAAAACCTAAAAATCAAAAGAGGGAAATGACTTGTATGTCACCTGCTTTCCTCCCCTCAGCATTTTCAAATATGACTCACCTCCCCAGGGGCCCAGCTCAATCCACCTCTGCTATGAAAAATACTCCACCTCCGCAGCACCTCTCAGCCCTGTCTCAGCTTTATTTGTCCCTAAGTAAGCACTGGCTTATCTGCTAACACTTTCATCAGAAGATCCTTTCTCTCTCTGGCTAAATGGTAAATTTCTGAAAAAAACTATCCCCACTTCAGAGCCCACCCTGACACATGGTAGATATGGTGCTCTGGGCACACATCCTGCCCTATTTTGTACTTGTTCACCCTATGCGGGACGTTTATGGTTGGTCAGCAAAGTAAAAATGCCCTTAGTTATCAGGGAAGTCTATAATCTCTAGCACGAGCATAAAGAAAAAGTGGATGGGGAGATAAACAGGTGATAATTTTTCCTATATAAATAAAATGATTGAATACTGTTAGGATTCAATAAGTTTATTGATTACTGGTGGCAATCCATACAGGTCTACAGCAACCTCAGTTCTTGCCTCCTCAGAAGAAAGAATTCGACTGAGGGGAATAAAGCAGAAAAAGAGATCAAGGCAAGTTTCAGAGCAGGAGTGGAAGTTTATTAAAAAGCTTTAGAGCAGGGGATAAACAAAGTACACTCGGAAAAGACCCAATTGGGCACTTTGGAGGTCAAGTGTAGCGTTTGACCTTCTGACTTGGGGTTTTATATATTGGCATACTTCCAGGGTATAGTGTCCCTTTTCCCATGATTCTTCCCTTAGGGTGGACCGCCTGCATGTGCAATGTCCTCCTTGTGCTTGGGAGGTGAGCATGCACAGTGTGTTTGAGGAGGTGTACGCATGCTCACCTGAGGCTTTCTTCCCTTTTCCGGTGGAGTGCCCCCAGAAGGTCTTGTGCTGCCGTATCGTCTGTTAATGCGCATGCTCGAGCTCACTCGCCCAACTCCTGAAAGCTGCCGATCAACAGTTACCGGTGTTTTTTTTATCTGTATAGGGAGACTGCCTTTCTCTGACGCTGGCTGTCACCAATTATTATTTTATAGAGATAGTTAACAACCGCCTGACCAGCACCTGATGGTCACCTGACTTTCCTGGTGTGGGTATGGAGGAGCCCTTTCCTGCCCTCCTCATAGGCTGGCTAGCTACCTGCTATAACAATACTGTGAGTAATTCAAAGCAGACAACACAAATGAACTCACTGGAAATGAAGCACATAATGCATTCTTGGCTCTATCCTTGTTCTGTCATTATTCTCCTAATTTCAAGATATGGGTTATCAATGGGATTCAGAAGTGACCTTCGAAGTTACTTAGTCCAATGTCCTACCCAAAAGATAGTTTTCTGACTTAGCAAAAGCTAAGGTAAAATGCTAAAGCAGTTTGTACGCAGAAACACATAAGGAATGTGAAATTGGTGTGAGACATTTGTCATGCTGTGGAGAAAGAGCAGGGTCTGAAACAATGGGATTTGTCTGGCACCACACTCTGAGATCCATAACCTTCCATGAGAGCATTTAAAGCAGGGATTGCAAATTGGCTCCTGAAGGGTTGATACCTGCCTGCTGGGGTGTTTGGTTTGGCCTGCATATAATTTATTAATTTTTAAATATCAGTCAACATCTGTAATTCAGGAAAGTTCACCTAAAACAAATCAGAATTTGAGGTTTTTTTTTTTTTTTTTCCTTAATGGAAGATCTGGAAATAACAGTCCTGCCATTGTACTTGGAAGCAATTAGCTAAAGGAATTTCCTTTAGATCTGGGATAAGCTTTAGGTTTACCACAGTCCTCACCACTCCCTATTAACTCTTTGTCACTAATGTCAGGTGCAAGTTGCCACTTACCCTTATGCCTGTCTTAAAATTTTTTCTCCTCCCTTTCTTCCTTCGTTTCCTCCTTCTTTCCATTCCTTCCTTCTTTGAATCCTTTTTTCTTTTTTTTAAAGTAAAAATGGGACAATAAAAGTTAGATTAATATTATATATTCTTCCAAATGCTACTGCATGCATCTTGTGCTTTCTCTCTATACCACTTGTATTCATATTACTTATTTCATGCCTGCCTTTGCCTCTGGCCTGTGAATTCCTAGTGGTAGGGAACTGCTTGTCTTGCTCATACCCCGTACCTGGTGCTGTGCCTAACAGTCCACATTGAATATATAACTGAACAGCAGGTTAGTTGCTTGCTGCATGCAGAGTCCAGTGAACAAGAGCAAGGTGTGGTATAAAAAAGTGATTTATTCTGAAGCTAGCCCAGGGGAAGAGACACAGATGTCCTGCCTTAAATGTGCCACTTTGCTTTTGGAGCATAAAGTGGGCACTTTTATAAGGTGGAGGAGGAAGCGAGCAAGGACAGGGTGTCCCCATGCTAGCTTGATGCCTTATCTATTGGGCAGTTGAGCTGGCACCTTCCTGGGAAGAAATAAGTTGTAAAAGTGGCCAAGTGGGCATGCTTTCAACATGCCCTCCTGGTGGGTGAAAGTCCTGCGGCACCCCCCTGGAGGGTGAGAGTTCGATGGTGGGTACGCTTTGTTCTGCAAATCGACTGTCAACTCCAGAGGAGAGATCTCTCTTGGAGCACAGAGTTAGATGAACTTGCCCTATAGGGAATATCTGGTGAAGGTGAGGTGAAAGGGTATATTGGCATTTCTAAAGGGCTAAGTAGGAAGCAGAGAACAGGGCGAAAGGGGAAAGGAGAAAAGAAGAGATAATAATTTTTAAAAAAGTAACTCATTCATTTTTTCTTAGAAAAAAATGGGGGCACTTGGTTATAAATATATATTGTTGAACTGCTGTTATATTCTCTTACTCTTACCTACAAGTAGAGTAATGAGATATCTCATCAGTCAGAATGGACTAAACAAGATAACAAGATGAGTGGGATCCAAAAATTCAACAATATACATGTGGGTAATTGGGAGGTAATGAAAACAGTGCTTTTCAGTTGGTCTGTACTGTCACAAGGAGCCGAATGGAGAAAGTCTAAATGGTTACAAATCAGTCACTTCCTCACTGCCTCTTCCCACCAGAAGATAAGAAATTCACCTGCCTCTGTTTGAGAATGGGGATTAGGCACAGCATGGGAGCCAGTCATTAATCGAAATGTCTGAATACCCGTTATCACAGCAAATGCTTCCTCGGGACCCACAATCAAAGGCTTTTAGTGGATACTGAAATTCTGGCTGGTAGTTGTGGAATCAAAACCCTGCATTGTGACTGGCTGTTTTTGAGGTGCTCCTACAAATGCTGCAGCTAACATTATGCAATTCTCTGTGTTGTTTTGTTGCTGTCTCCTTCACTTGCTTTTAAGCCTGAGACTCAGAACTTTATCTCCTGCCCCTAACAGAGTGCTGTCCCTGGGCACCTGCTCAGAAACACTTGCTCCTTTGTCCAGTGTAAACTGTCTTGAAGAAGTCATTCTCCTGAGACTCAGAACTTTATCTCCAGCCCCTAGCAGAGTGATGTCCCTGGGCACCTGCTCAGAAACGCTTGCTCCTTGGTCCGGTGTGAACTCTCTAGAAGATGTCATTCTCTACCTGGCTCTGCTTTCTGGCTTTGAGCACTGAGGGGTTCTGCCTTCCTCTTGGGTCCTGGACACACCCTGAGTAGGGAACTCAGGAAAGAGTGATCAGCCTTCTCATAGGCTTGAGTCAGAACTCTAGTATATGTCAGGGGTCCTACTTTTTTTCTTTGAGGTTTAGGGGCACATGATTCCTGAGAGGCTTCTCTTGGAATCTAGTACCGTCTGTTATTCCTTGCCTGCGATGAACATCTGGTTTTTGTACTTGGTCACTCTCTCCTCTTTTTGACCTGTGCTAAACTCCTGGGCAGGGAACCTGGCTAGAGCACTTGAGAATCACTCTCTACCCATTGCCAGGCACCTGCTTGTATCCTGGCACCTGGCTGAGTCTGCTGGCTTACAGGTAGGCATTCAGTATCTGCATAACACCCAACCCTATCTCCTTTCATCACGGGCGACAACTCAAAGCTGACCTGGAAAACCAAAGGGAAAGTGACTGAATCCATTTTGGCTCTTTGCTTTACTATTGTTTTAGTAATAATTTTTTTGTTTTGCTTACTCTTTATGCCCTTCTTGAACATAGCATCTGTGGGCATTTGAGCAAGTTAATTTTAAGGCCAAAGGTAGCCTAGCTCTCATGGTGGCTGGAGGTGGGCTTGCAGGAAGCCATGATAAATACTGACAGGGCAAACGCCTGAGCATAGGTACAGCACACTGCTTCAGTGACACCAGTGGTGCTACTACATACCTGCCTTCCACCGGGAGCAGTGATTTTGCATCAGAGAGAGCAGGTGGGTCAATTTTGATAATCCAAGCCACCCAGCAAACTTTGATAGCTTCTACAAGCAGTCAGGAGAAATCCCAGCACGCTAAGTGGCTGGTAGGCTTTTCCTAGGATTTAAAGGTCACCTGGGGGTCGCTCTTAATCCTTTCTGATAGAGCATATGCCTTCCACTCCCCTGCCATGTGCTCCCTGCCTCCCCAGATCCTGCCTTGTCAAGAACTGCTTGCTTCAATGGTGGCCTTATCAAACATCACACTGATGCAGTTAGTGCCTTATTGTTGCCAAAACCTTTTGCAAGACCACTGCCTCAGCTACCTTGAGCCTCTTCCCACTGAGCACATCCCTTCATTAATGCTGCATTTCTCTGATGAGTTCCCCCTCTGCCCTGCTTTCTTCATCTGTTTAATTTGTTTGCTGTGCACTTTGAACCCATCCCCTGGAAGACATGACATAACACCATCTCTTTCTATTTAAACTGTTATTCAGGACATGTTTGAAATGTGCATTATTCATGGGCATTATTGGAGATCAGTGCAAATCATCTTCATTGGACACCCTGGAGACTGCAGCCGAGTTGCATGTACTTATAAACTGGGTAGTATCATTTCCTGAAAAGCAGGTTTGCTCTGCCTTCTAGGGGGGAAATGACAGTTTCATGGAACCTCTGAGAACAATCATGCTTTTGAAAGGGATCACGAGGCCATTTCATTTGTCATTGGATGCACATATTTCAGCAAGGCTGGAAAATTTCTCATGTGGTTTGATTCACATGGTTTTGAAATCTTATTCAGACACAGACTTTGGCCAGGTCCCTGTAGAAGTCATAGGAGAGTTGGGGTTTCAAGACAAAACAATAAGAACAACAACAAAAATAATAAAACCAACAATCTTCAGTCCTTTTTGCTTAGTGGGGGTGGAAAGGCCACTGTAGAGAACTTCTTTAATCCAAGGACACCCACACCAATAAAAGCAGACGGCAAGGGAACCAGGACAAGCATGGCTGTGAAGGTAAGTCAGGTGTAACTGTGGTGGCCTGCAGCCCTTTCTATGTCTTTTCTTTCTGTTCCAAGTTCCCATTGTACCCTTGGGCTACATGAGGGACCTCTTGTTCTGGAGAGAGTGATTCATGTGTTGGGTGGTAGCAGTTTGCCTTACTGCCCCTCCTAGGAACACTTGCTATTAGAAAGATGAATGTGGGCCAGGCACAGTGGCTTACACCTGTAATCCCAGCACTTTGGGAGGCTGAGGTGGGCAGATCACGAAGTCAGGAGTTCGAGACCAGGCTTACCAACATGGTGAAACCCCATCTCTACTAAAAATTAAAAAATTAGCTGGGCTGGTGGTGTGTGCCTGTAATCCCAGCTACTCCAGGAGGCTGAGGCAGGAGAATTGCTTGAACCCGGGAGGTGGAGGTTGCAGTGAGCCGAGATTGCACCACTGCACTCCAGCCTAGGCGACAGAGTGAGACTCTGTCTCACAAAAAAAAAAATAAAATAAAATAAAATAAAGATGAATGTGGAACCTCAAGGGGGATGTTTCTGTTGATGGAGATCAAAGATTGTGGTCCTTGGGTGGGGAGACATGTTGAAACAGGAAGGCCTTCCCAAAGCCTCTCTAAATCATACTGCACCATGAAGCTCTTCTCAGCATTTGAGTAGGTCAGGCTCTGTGCCAAAGTGAGGTGGACCCTCTGGTTCTATTTCCTTTGCACTAGCATTCCACATGTTTCAATAGTCCCTGGTGGTGAAGAAGGGTTTTTGGAAAGCGCTTACTCTTTGAGGCTTCTGTACAGGTATGTACTAGACAAATGTCTTGACTTTTGAAAAGTCTGGATTAGAAAAGATTATTGAAGTCAGTTTGTTCCAAGAGTTAAAAGTGTTGGTATAAAAGTAGCTGCTAATGCCATTGGTTGTTAATGGGTAGAGTTTATATACCTCTGCCATGGGTTCTGGCTTTGTTCAATTGATAGAAGTTCTTATGTGGGAAGTTTTAAATGAAAGGCCTTTGTGGAGAGGGAAAAAATGAATGGCTGTTTAAAGGATTTAAAGAGGAAATATATTGCTATATGCATTTAGCTCCTTATATTAACATCTCACATGGTCAGGGCCCAATAAACCTCAAACCTTAATTTATTCATTCATACATTAATAAGCTTATTATTTTATTAATTTAATTCAGATTTTGTTAATGTTTACTGTACCATGCAACACTACGCTAGGTACATGGAATAAAATGGGTAAAGGATTCATTATTATATATGTGTGTGCATGTGCACATGGGCACATGTGTGTTGCAAGGCATAAGTCTAAAAGTTATGATTCAGCAGGATAAGGGGATGGAGGGAAGGTAGGAGTCTATGGGAGTGAGGAGGATAGAAGCACCCAGTCTAGCACTGGTGGAGATAGTCGGGAAGACAAGCCAATGAAACTGATGCTTGAGTTGAATCTTGAAAAATAATGAAGATCATTGATGGGAGAGGCTGTAGCTTGGTCAAAGCATAGGGAGCATTTGTATAAAAGCACAGAGGGAATGAAGCTGTTTAGGGAAACTAAAAGCATTTTTATAATTACGAGTTCTGAAGGATGTTAGGATTTTGATGAAAGAGAAGACTAGAGAGGAAAACCAAATCCAAACAGGAGGTGCTAAAGATTTGAGACCTGATCTTCCAGCTGATTGAAAATTGCTGCAGATTTTAAACAGGACTGTGCATTTTTGAAGGATCATTCTGGAAATGGTGGGGACTGGGTTAGAAGAGAATTAGATGAGAGGCAGAGAGGCCAATTAGAATGTTATAGCCATAGCCCAGGTGGGAAAGACTTCCCAAGAACAGTGGCAAAGGGGGATAGAAAGGAGCAGAGGGGCCAGAGTCACCGAGGAAGGAGAACTGGCAGAGCTGGTGAATGGGGTGGATGTTGGCGAGACAGAAGACGGCTCTCAGGCGTCCGGTCTGGGTGGTGATGATAAGCAGACCAATCCTAGAGACAAGGCTCGTTGTCTTGAGGAGGCTCCTCCATTAGGAGGAAGAGACCCAAGTTGGAAGAATTTGCATCCCCTTGGGAAATGATTAGACCACAAGGATTTGCTTGTATTAATCAAAGGGAATTCTTAAAAATGTATAAGCCAAATAGTCCACAATTGTGTGTGCAAGTGCTAGACTCAGTGGAACAGCCATCTTCAGTCATCTGTCTCTCTCTGCGGGGGACAAAGAGCACTGATATTTAGGATGATGACCCTGTGGCCTTACAAATCATGATCAAAGCTGAAATATTCAATTATATTCATTAAAGCAGGAAGGTGAACTTGGGCATTTGAATTTGAATGTATTCCAACTCTGCCTGCTGCCCACTTTCGAAACAATTAGAGCCAGTTTATAGATTTGGACTGTTCAAGATACACGAGGAAGGCAGAGGAGTAGGAGATTTTCAGGCCCTGGAGTTAAACGGACATCACCTTTTGACGATAAAATACCATGAGACAAAATTTTGGGTTCTTTCCACTAAGGCAAAAATATTTAATAAATTCCTTTTTGGTAATATAAAGCACGTACTTTCATCAGTTATTTAAAAAATACTGCAATGAAATTTATTTTACTTTTTTAAAATTTTAATTTTTGTTGGTACATAGTGGGTACATATACTTATCGGGTACATGAGATACTTTGATACAGGCATGCAATGCATAATAATCACATCATGGTAAATGGGGTATCCATCCCCTCAAGCATTTATCCTTTTGTTACAAACAATACAATTATACTCTCTAGTTATTTTTAAATGTACAATTAAATTATTGTTGACTATAGTCACCCTGTTGTTCTATCAAATACTAGATCTTATTCATTCTTTCTATTTTTTTGTATCGATTAGCCATCCATCTCCACCCTGCCACCCACTACCCTTCCCAGCCTCTGGTAACAATCCTATTCTGTATCTCCATGAGTTCAATTATTTTGATTTTTAACTTCCAGAAATAAGTGAGAACATGTAAAGTCTGTCTTTTTGTTGCCTAGCTTATTTCACTTATCATAATGACCTCCAGTTCTATCTATATTGTCTGCAGAGAAATTTAAACAAAAATCCATTAATAATTACTTCCGGTAAGGTAACATCAGCCTTGAAGTCGTCCAAGATTTAAACTGGAACTTTTTGTCTTCACTCTTCAGGCTAGAGAGTCATCCTTTAAACAACCCTTTTTTTTTTTTTTTTTTTTTTGACGGAGTCCCACTCTGTCACCCAGGCTGGAGTACAGTGGTGCCATCTCAGTTCACTGCAAGCTTCGCCTCCTGGGTTCATGCCATTCTCCTGCCTCAGCCTCTGGAGTAGCTGGGACTACAGGTGCCCGCCACCACGCCCGGCTAATTTTTTGTATTTTTAGTAGAGACGGGGTTTTCACTTTATTAGCCAGGATGGTCTTGATCTCCTGACCTCTTGATCTGCCCACCTCAGCCTCCTATCCGCCCACCTTGGCCACCCTCAGAGTAAATGTAAAGTCCACCACGCCCAGCCTAAACAACCTTTAAGAATCTCTTTTCCTTCTATTCCAAGCCCAGACCTCCCTCTCTGCATGCCTGGCCCTCTGCCTGGCATGCTGATGGCACTCTGCCTTCACTGTCTTCCCTCTCTGACCCATCTTGTATGCGCCTGTGCTTGTTCACTGATACACAGATGACACCCTAGTTGATATTCCCAGCCCTCACCTCTCCCCTGATTCTACTCAACATCTCCAAAGAGATGTTTAAGAGGCATTTTCAGCTCAACACAGTACAAAGTTACCTACTGATTTTATACCCCAAAAGCCATTTTCTGTCTTCCCCAATATCTCCATTACTTGCCAGCTCTGCCAGTTCTCCCTCCCTGGTGATTCTGGCGCCTCTGCTCCTGTCTTTGCCACTGCTCTTGGGAAGCCTTTCCCACCTGGGCTATAGCTACAGCATCTTAATTGGCCTCCCTGATTCTCATCTCGCTCTCCTCTAATTCAGCCCCCACCATTTCCAGAATGACCTTTCAAAAATGCAGAGTCCTTTTTAAAATCTGCAGCAGTGTTCCCTCAGTGTAAGGATCAGGTCTCAAATCTTCAGCACCTCCTGTTTGGACTCAGATTTCCTCTCCAGTCTTCTCACTTGAATCTTATCTCAATGTCAATTCTGGACTTCCAGTTGCCTATTTTAGAAAATTCTCTTGATTCTACCTGCAAAATCTATCCAGATTCTGATCACCTGTGACTACCTTTACCTCCAATTTCTGGCATTATCATCTATCACTTGGATTGAGTAAAAGCCTCCTGTTTGGTCCCAAGTCTGCCTCTGGTTCCTTCATAGTGTTCACAGAGCCATGGCCAGAGTGATCTTATTAATACCTTAGATGTGTTCCTCTCCTGCTCGGACGCCTCTGGCAGCTCCCTCACCCTCAGAGTAAATCTAAAGTCCTTGTAGGGGCCTCATAGCCCTTTCATCTGGTCTCTGGCTTCCTCCTTATTTCCTGCCAGTCTCCCCCCACTCATGGTGCTCCAGCCACACTGACTGCCTTTCTTTCCTTGCATCCAGATCCTATCTGCCTCAAGCGGGAATTCCCTGCCCTGTTCTCCAGTCTTGGCACATACTGTTCTCCCTGGAGTCCTTCCCACCTGCCCAGAGCTTCCTCTACTTTCAAGCTCACGTAAACTCACTTTCCCCATGAAGACTCCCTTGACATCCAGTGATTTTCCTTTGTCTCCAAACGCCAGTGTTCTATTTTGAGACTTGTGCTCATCTCCTCACTGGTAGGAGGCTGCCTGGTTTCTCTTCCTGATGTGATACAGCTGGCTGTGTGCCCACCAGCCAATGGGATGATCACTTTCCTGAAGCCAAGGACCATTTAGTTTGTTTTGATATCCTGAAGAGCCTCAGTATGGTCCACCTGTACATAAGCCTCTTAAGGATTCTGTTAGTTTGCTTTTGCCTCTGCATCAAGCTAGAAAAAGGGCACAGGGGAATGGAGAAACATGGTTCTTACTCTGGTTCTGACATCACCCTCAATGAAGAGGAGTGAATCACTGATACATCCAACCACATGGGTGAATCTCAAATGCATTACGTTAGGTGAAAGAAGAGGCACCCCAAAAATACATAGAGTATGATTCCACTGATATGACACGATGGGAAAGGCAAACTGGAGCAGTGGAGAATGCACCAGTGGTTGCCAGAGGCTGACAGTGAGGGAGGGTTGACTACAAAGGAATAGCAAGAATGAATTTTTTTGTGGAAGGTGATAGAAATATTCTGTATCAATTGTGATGCTGGGTCTGTGACACTATGCATTTGTCAACATTCATAAAACTGTATACCAAGAACAGTAAATTTTGTTTCTAAAATAAATTTAGAAAACACAAAAAAGCAGAACACTGCCTAACACATCTAAGTGTTTAATAAATGTTTCTGTTACCAAGAAAAAATAACTCTGCCTTGCAGGAAATAAAAAATTACCAATGGCAAAGACTTATTTACTGATGGAGTATTATCTGAAAAACAAATAAGATTGGTTGCAAAAAGATTTCCTAGTTTGTAAAATATCCAGTTGTACTTATGTTTCATAGGGATCACATAGTATCTTTAAAGTACTAAAAGAAAAAATTGTGAAAACATGGTATCTAAGTGCTAATTTCTTTAAATAATCTAAAATAAAACAATGCGCTTTAGTTTTAAAAAGTTGTGGTGTCCAAAGAAATACATTTTCATTGTTATTAAGCGTATGCAAAAAATTATAAACACAGACATACACAAACACAAATAGTTGTTTTCTTATTTTCCAAAGATAAAACTGTAGGGAATTAATATTGAGTCCTGCTTGTGCGAGGCACTGTTGTATTCATTAGATCTTATAATAATCCCATGAGGGAAGCAGTATTATCCCCATTGTATAGATGGCAACTATGAGACCCAGGGAGGTGAAGTGAGTTAAGAAAGGTTACAGGGTTGGTAGCATCTGCTCCAAGATGTAATCCAGGTCTGCCTGACTCTGCGGATGCATTTCCCACAGACACACACTCCTTCTGGCTGTACAAATGGCAGGCAGCCAACAGCTCCAGCTCACAAAGACAAGGCTCCCGCCTGAACAGCATGCAGCTCTCTCAAGTCTGGCCTCTGCTGAGAACCTCTGTCCCGCTGCCGGACCTGCAACCCCAAGGCTCCTGCCCTGTCAGTGGCTTCAGTGTGGTCACTGTGGTGAGGAAAATCTGTCCCTTTGCGAAGACACTGAGGCAGGGCCTGGATCTAAGCCGTATCTTCCTCAGCTGCAGTGCCAGCACAAAAGCAAACAGCCTCACAGGGGGCCATTCTGTCAGGAAGATAAATGCTGTCTCATTGATTCCCTCACCGAGGAGCTTGTCTGAAATGGCAGCTGCTAGACAGAAACGCTTTGAAGATTGAACCCAGGAGTCCAGTTCCAGCCTCTCTTTCAGTCTTGACTAGCAATTCAAACTCGCGTGACAAATTTAAGTCCATGTCACTGCCTAGGATAGAAAGTAAACTCGGTGAATGACACAACTTGCCAGGGATATCCTTAGACCGTTGCCACGTTGCCAGTACCAGGACAGATCCTACTGGCTACTATCTGCTGTAGGATTTACAGCCAGTCCCATCCCAGAATTTGCATGGGTCACAATGTCCTTCAAGGGCAAAGGGAAGTCCTGAAAAGGCAATGAAGTTCGAAAAAGGAGAGTACAGAGCGTCTCACTTGTCAGGACACGGGGAAGGGAGAAGGGTCCCTCGGAGTCCTGTGTATGAGTGTGTGACTGATACACACACTCATGAATGTGCATCGGGGTCCTATGTATGAATGTGTGAGTGATACATACACTCATGAATGTGCATCGGGGTCCTATGGATGAATGTGTGAGTGATACATACGCTCATGAATGTGCGTTGGGATCCTATGTATGAATGTGTGAGTGATACATACACTCATGAATGTGCATCAGGGTCCTATGGATGAATGTGAATGATACATATGCTCATGAATGTGGGTTGGGATCCTATGTATGAGTCTGTGAGTGATACACACACTCATGAATGTGCGTCGGGATCCTATGGATAAATGTGTGAGTGATACACACACTCATAAATGTGCATCGGGGTCCTTTGTATGAATGTGTGAGTAATACATACACTCATGAATGTGCATCGGGGTCCTCTGTATGAGTGTGTGAATGGTACATATACTCATGAGTGTGCATCAGGGCTTTTGTTTTTGTTGTACCAGCTAACAGCATCACACCAGCTATCCCGGTGTCACTGTCTTGTATCAACTGCTGTTCACATCAGAGGGCGAGGACTAAGGCAACTACCCCCAATTCCCTGTGTGCCAAGGAAGTGGCCTAATGTCGTGGGTGAGATGGAGTATGAGCAACAGCAGATGATCACATCCAGGGGTGCACCCCGCCCCTGGCATTTCCACCTGGCCCCTCAGTGGAAGAGGTTAGTGCAGTGAGAGATTTCTCCACGAGGTGGCGCTCATAGCTTAGCTTTATTTTTACTTTCATTGATGGGAAAATTTGCCCTGCTACCGCCGCCGGAGAACGCACATGACTTATGCTTTCTAATTCATGTGCAGATTTCGTGTACTGTCATGTTTGGGGTTCTATTGAATTTTGTACAATTACAACTTATTCTTTCCCTCTGGGACCTTGGCAAGCAACACTATACAAGGATAGGCATTATAACCTGTCGGGTGGGGGGGCGGTGGGGGGGTCATTATTTTATCACACACACAGAAACACACACACATATACACACTTGCTTTAGGGATAAATTCTGCCATTTTATTTTTTCCTGGTCCTCATCGTGGTCAGAATGGTGTGACCAGCTGATACCCTTTGTTTACTAGAACCCAGTACAGCAACACCAGTTCAGTATTCATGTCCATTACATGGTGGACAAAGCTTGGATTGGCAGCCTCAAAAAATGCTCACCCACCCTGAGGCTTAGCGATCAAAGCTCAGAGGAAAACAGCTGGTGGCAGGCTTGTCTTTAAAGGAGGATATCAGAACTGGTATGTGTGTGAGATGCTGTGGCTGGGTTTTACATGGTGGCTGTCTCTGAAGAAGCTACCTGTAGGGCTGAGCTGACTGAGGTGCTTGGAAGCCTTATAGTAATACTACTGGATATGATCCAGTTATTAGGGTTTAAAATAACAGATGTACAATATCATCCCTTTCCTCAAGGAAAAATCCAGTCTACTAGAGACGATAAGAAATTTAGTCAATCCAGTAACACAAAAGGTAGTTTCTGCTAAGTACATCATGTCAACAAATTTGCTCTGAGAGTTCATAGGAAAACCTATCCCTGTGTCTTGGAATACAACAGTGCCTCGCACAAGCAGAACTCAATATTAATTCCCTACAGCTGGGGAAGCGTTCAGGGAAGGATAGACCTAGGTCAGGCTTTGACAGGATTAGGAATCAGGCAGGGCAGGAGAGGGCATGACCGGGGAAGTGGGAAGGGAATTCTGTAATAGATCATCTATGTAGACCTGGTAAACCTCGGATAGCTGGAGCTCAATTAATTGGCACCCTCAGTAATAGGTGGTTCCTTTAAAAATTCTATTTCATGAAAAGACAAAATCACAGTAAGATGACAGTTCCTTACAGTATAGAAGGATGATGTCCCCGAAGCCCAGCAGAATGATTAATCTTTAAGGCAGTATTTATTTTTATTCTTATTAAATACTGAGAGTGACCTCATTCATTCAACACATTTTTTTTTTTTTATTATACTTTAAGTTCTAGGGTACGTGTGCACAATGTGCAGGTTTGTTACATAGATATACATGTGCCATGTTTGTTTGCTGCACCCATCAACTCGTCATTTACATTAGGTATATCTCCTAATGCTATCCCTCCCCCAGCCCCCCACCCCCCAACAGGCCCCAGTGTGTGATGTTCCCTGCCCTGTGTCCATGCATTCAGCACATGTTTATGCAAATATTTATGAAAATATTTATGGAGTATTTTCATTGTGCTGAATGTTTTGTGGGAAACTAAGATGTATCAGGCAGGATTGTCTTCTCTGGAGACTTTGTGGTAGGAGAAAAGACAATAAATGTGAATATCACGATAATGTCAGAGAAAAGACAAAGACTCTACGGTAAGTACGGAAAAGTATAGAGCAAGACAAAAATTATTTCAGCTGAGGGTTCAGTGGTAGGATGTATTCATATAAAGATAAAAGGAGAGGAAGAGATTTTTGCATTAAGAAATGGCAAGCACAAAATAAAGAAGTCTGCAAGAAGAGACTGAATGGGGAACACAGAGTAGGAGAGCAGACATAGTGAGCAAGGCTGCTGCAAGCTTAGGTGAGAGCCATATGTCAGGCAGCTTTGCATGGCAGGTTAAAGAGTTTCAGTTCAGCTGGGCGCGGTGGCTCACGCCTGTAATCCCAGCACTTTGGGAGGCCGAGGCGGGCGGATCACGAGGTCAGGAGATTGGAGATTGCAACCATCCTGGCTAACACGGTGAAACCCCGTGTCTACTAAAAAATACAAAAAATTAGCCAGGCGAGGTGGTGGGTGTCTGTAGTCCCTGCTACTCGGGAGGCTGAGGCAGGAGAATGGCGTGAACTCGGGAGGCGGAGCTTGCGGTGAGCCGAGATCCCGCCACTGCCCGCCAGCCTGGGCGACAGAGCGACTCTGTCTCAAAAAAAAAAAAAAAAAAAAGAGTTTGAGTTCAGTAGGATTCTACATACTTTTGAGTAGACAGATAAGCTGATCTTTAGAAAGACCTGTGTTTCAAAAGATTAGCACATAATGCCAACATATAAGATGGACTGACGGGGGGCAGAGAAAGGAGATAGAGGATTTGGTTAAAAGGCTATCCTATAGGCCCCGGAATGAATAGGACTTTATAAACTGACATTTATTGTTATCATTTTGGAACATATCAAAATCCGTTCCTCAAAATTAAAAAAAATCTAAGCATATATAATTCACCAGATCTGAAAAGAATGTGTTAAGGGTTACTAAAAGTGACTGAGAGCAGGAAGAAATGATGCAAGAAGTGAAGAGCAGAGCCATGGAGAAGTGGGGGTAGGGGGGCAGCTATTTCAGAATGTACCAGCATTTCCTGAAGGTGAGAGATATGCCCAGGAGAGCAGATACTAGATTCTTTGTTTACGACACTGGATGTGGGAACAGGTTTAAGCAGAGATGCTGGCAGAAGCTGTCACAGAATGAATTTGGTAGAGGAAAGCAGGGGACAGGGACCTCATCCAGAATTGTACCTTCAACAAGGTGGCTATAGTTAATGACGATATAGTCTCAAAAACTGCAGAGAGAGTGGATAAGTGTTGTCACCACAACAATGATAACTATGTGAGGTAATAAATTTGTTAGCTAGATGTAAGCATTCCAGAATGTCTGTATACCTCAAAACATTAATGTTGTACATGATGCTTACACTGTCAATTTTTGAAACACATTAAAACTTAAATTTAAAAAATGAAAAAAATTGTACCTATGAGCCACATTTGCAAGAATTTATCTTTTCTGCAGCATCACAGATTGCATTGTAAATATCTGCTAGTCAGCCCCTCTCCCATAAAGAACACTCCTCCCCAGATTAAAAGGGCTTCCTGCAAATAGCCAGCCCAGGGATTCAATGATAACCAAGAAAAATGAGACCAAGTACTAAATAAACATAAAGGTACTTTAAGAATAAATGAAGCAAAAGAGCATCAAAACTGCTAACAAAGGATGAATATTGACTGGAAAAAAATGTTTCCATAGAGTAGAAAAACATTGTGACCAAATATTTTACTGCACATTGAAAGAAAAACATACACAAAGTATCACCTCTACAAATAAAGAATTAAAAAAAAAAGTAAGAATGCAAGAAAGAGATGGCAAGATAATATGAGAACACAAAGTATGAGGGGTCACATCTTAGAAAGTAGAAAAATAGCCATCAAAGAAACGAAAACAAAATTGTAAGAAACACAGTGGATGACATGTTTCATGAAAAACACAATAAAGGACATAGAGGAAGAAATGAGAGAAATTGTAAAAATAAATGTAATTTTTAAAAATATGTAGAGGCATATATATTTTGCTGTAATTAGAAAAGAATGGCAAAGGAGATTCAACATTGGCATAATTGGTGTCTCTAAGATGAAAATTTTTAAAAATGGAAAAGTGAAAAAAAAATTTAAGGCCGGGTGCAGTGGCTCATGCCCATAATCCCAGCACTTTGGGAGGCAAAGGTGGGCTGATCACCTGAGGTTGGGAGTTCAAGACCAGTCTGACCAAAATGGAGAAACCCCATCTCTACTAAAAAAGAAAAAAATACAAAATTAGCCAGGCATTGTGGTCCATGCCTGTAATCCCAGCTACTTGGGAGGCTGAGGCAGGAGAATCGCTTGAACCCAGGAGGCGGAGGTTGCAGTGAGCCAAGATTGTGCCGTTGCACTCCAGCTTGGGTAACAAGAGTGGAACTCCGTCTCAAAAAAAAAAATGTAATTTAATAAAATTTTATCTAAATAAAAATGACTTAAAGGCTGGGTGTGGTGGCTCACGCCTGTAATCCCAGCACTTTGGGAGGCCGAAGCAGGTCAATCACTTGAGGTCAGGAGTTTGAGACCAGTCTGGTCAAAAACATGGTGAAACCTTGTCTCTACTAAAAATTCAAAAATTAGCCTGGCATGGTGTTAGGTGCCTGTAGTCCCAGCTACTTGGGAGGCCGAGGCAGGAAAATTGCTTGAAGCTGGGAGGCAGAGGTTGCAGTGAGCTGAGATCACGCCACTGCACTCCAGCTTGGGCAACAGAGTGAGATTACATTAAAAAAAAAAAAAAATGACTTAAATAGCTATGTCAAAAGTTCACACCACATGATAGAAAACATAGACCTAGAATGATCAATACTGAAATATAACCAAGTAAATCTGTGAGGTGTAAATATTTTAAAACATTTTCAAAAGTTCGTATAAAGGAATTAGTCAGTTCTCAAATTCCTCTACAGCAGAATTTCATGTCAAAGTGTAACAGTGAAAATCTTAAAAAAAAAAAAGTCAAGGAGAGAAAATATGTTATGAATTTTCTATGCGGCAAAACTGTCCAAGTATACAAGCTATAGACTATTAAAAGGAAAACTTTAGGCAAATTAAATTTAACAGAGTTTAACTGAGCAGAGAACAAATTGAGAATCAGCCAATCCCTCTCCCCACAGCCAGAATAGATTCAGAATGACTCTGGCGTTGTCACTCGGCTAGAGAGGATTTATGGACAGAAAACAGAACCAAAGTGCTGAAATAGCTGGGATTGATTACAGCAGGCATTTGCCCTATTTGAACATAGTTTGAACAGTTGGTCATCCTTGATTGACCAAAACTCTGTTATTGGTACAAGAATGGATAGTCAGTTTACATATCCAGTTAGGTTACAGTTCACTATGTACGAAGAAACCTTTGGGCCAAACTTAAAACATGTAACAGGCAGCTTTAAGCTAAACTTAATTTAACAGTACAAAAATTATGAATATTCAGGAACTAAGGAAATGCAGTTTTTATGAGCCCTTTCTGATGAATCTTTTAGAGGATAAACTTATGTTAGCTGAGGGATAACTAGGAAGATTAAAACAAAAGGCAGGAAACATTGAATATATTTCACTCTAGAATTAACACTAATACAAACTTGGAGATTAGAGAAATGAATTCTAAGTCTCATGTGTTCAGACCATGTAGGAGTGCTATAACTAACAAACAATTGAAGGATGTTAGAAAGAAGATGAGTAGTAGAATAGTTTTGCTGACAGTTCCACTAAATATTAGGCAAAGGCCATTTTTTAAAATCGAAGGTATTAGGAGAATTGGCATACTTAAGTGTACAAAGATAAACATTAAGAAAGATAATATTGTTACCTAAAACATAGGTGGTCAGAGAAGAGGAAATGTGCTAATTTTATCATTGTTCAGAATAATAAATTAATATGTATGGTTTAAAGAAACAAAGAACAAAGGGGATTATGTACAATTATACATAACATTTTTCTATATCAGAATAAATATACCCAAAAATTCAAGCAAAAAAAATACTACACAATAAAAGAAAATCTCAGAAAAAAGAGAGAAAAAAAAACACAAAACTAGGCTGGGTGTAGTGGCTCACACCTATAATCCCAGCACTTTGGGAGGGCAAGGCAGGCGGATCACTTGAGGTCAGGAGTTCGAGACCAGCCTGGCCAACATGGTGAAACCCTGTCTCTACCAAAAATATAAAAAATTAGCTGGGTGTGGTGGTGCACTCCTGTAATCCCAACTACTCAGGAGGCTGAGGCAGGAGAATTGCTTGAACCAGGGAGGCAGAGGTGGCAGTGAGCCAATGTTGTGTCACTGCACTCCAGCCTGGGTGACAGAGCAAGACTCCTTCTCAAACAAAACAAAACACAACAAAAAACAAAACCAAAAAAACCCCATAAAACTAAATGGTAGATATAAGATGAACGTATTTCTTATATTAATTGATGAAGGGAACTTAACTCATTTCTCAGAAGAAGGAATTTCGAAGTGGATCAGAAAAACAAACCAAACTGTATGGTATATAGAAAACATAAGACAAAGTAATTCTGTAAAATTGAAAATTAGAGGTTTGAGTAAAGTTGTGCTAAAAAATGCAACAAAACAAAAAACAAAGCCAACCAACCAAACAAAATAAGATAAAAACTGACGAAACAAAATAAAACAAACAAGAAAAGAAACAAGAAAAAAAAGTAAACAAGCAAGAGTCTTAACATTAAAAATAGTAGAATTTAGGCAAAAATAAGGATTTAATATAACGAAAGGCAGTTTTATCCTATAGTGTGCACCTCATGAGTCTTTAATAATTATGCTTATCTACACATCAAATACCAATGGCACTCACGTTATAAAGTACAAATTACAAGAGATAAATAAAAAGGAAAGAAGAAACACAAGCACTAAGGGACTTTAATTCACCTCTTTCAATCTTTGATAGAGGAAGTGGAACATTGTGGGAAACAAAATAGTATGATTCACAGGTAGATAAGATGGATGTATCTCAAACTATACTTTGAAAATAGAGAACGCACATTTCTTCCATGTTTCTAGGGGATATTTAAAAAACTTAACTATAGAATAGGTCAATAGAGAAAAATCTCAATATGTTCCAGGAGGTAATGCAGACACAGTCATTTTTCACAATGTAATAAGAATAAAGCTTAACAACAAAATCAAATAATAAAATGTGCCTTCTAACTGGGATTTTTTAAAAGTTCTCTTATTCAACTTCTCCAGCAATAATGTCATATAATCAAAATATCATAATTTCTTAACAATAATTAATACACAGTGATTCAAACAACTTGACATGTAAAATATAGGCAAAGAAGTGAGGAAAAGAAAATTCACAGTTTTAAATATTTATATCAATAAGTATGCATGAATAAAATAAGTTAGATATCCAATTCAAAAAGTTAGTAAAACAGCAATAAACTACACTGAGGAAAAGCATAAAGAAGAAATTATTGTAAGTAAAATTGGAAATTAATCAATTGGAAAACTGAAAATCACAAACTTAAGCTACTTCCAAAAGCTGGCACTTTACAAAATAATAGAATAAATAAGGTAACAGGTAATCTAAACAAAGAGAAAAATATCTATTTCAGGAGAAGAGACAGGTAAGCAAAATATATAAAATAAGAAAATGAAAAAGGGAAATAACTACATAATTATAGAAAAATTTAAATCTACCTATGTTTTACCCAACTTCATGTAAATAATTTTGAAAATTTCATTTAAGTCAGTTATTTTCTAGGAAAAATAATTGATCAAAATTGACCCCAGAAGAGATAAAACTTATAATTTTGTTAATTTGAACAGAAGAAATAGGTAAACACACTAGATTCAGTTTTTCATATAGAGGAATTCAATCAAATCTTTAAAGAACATTTCAATTCTTCAAGAACAAAAATAAAAAAATCCATATTTTTAATGAAGTGAATAAACTATTGCTGTCAAAGCCTGATAAAGACTGTACTGAAAAGAAAGTTATAGAAAAATACCACATATGAAGATTAACTATCCCAAGTAAATCACAAATAAGCAGAATTCAGTACCTCATTAAAAGATTCATATATCTGAGGAAATAGATTTATTTTCTAGGAATGCAAGGTCCTCAGTATTAGAAAAATGAAATAATGTACCATTATAATTGACTGAAGGAGCAAAACAGACACTGAAAATGTTGATAACATTCAACAATTATTATTGCTCAAAACAGCAAAAAATATCAATTTTCAACGTAATAAAATATACCTATCTTAGCCCAAAGTCAACGGTATGTTTAATGAGGGAAATACTAGAGATAATTCCTCTGAAGTCAGAAACTAAACATGATTACATAATTACTAGGTAACATTAGTTACTGCTGGTATTCACCAACACAATTAGAAAAGAAATTAGAAAGCTAGAAACAAAAAATAAACCTATGAAAAGTTGGAGTTGATATGATGAATAATCTAAGGTAAGAAACAGAAATACGCAACAAAGAGTAAGAATATTCAATAAAATAGTGGAGTAAAAAAATAGCACACAGAAATTCATAGCTTTCTTTTCTTTTCTTTTTTTTTTCTTTTATTATTATACTTTAAGTTTTAGGGTACATGTGCACATTGTGCAGGTTAGTTACATATATATACATGTGACATGCTGGTGCACTGCACCCACTAACTCATCATCCAGCATTAGGTATATCTCCCAATGCTATCCCTCCCCCCTCCCCCCACCCCACAACAATCCCCAGAGTGTGATGTTCCCCTTCCTGTGTCCATGTGATCTCATTGTTCAATTCCCACCTATGAGTGAGAATATGCGGTGTTTGGTTTTTTGTTCTTGTGATAGTTTACTGAGAGTGATGATTTCCAATTTCATCCATGTCCCTACAAAGGACATGAACTCATCATTTTTTATGGCTGCATAGTATTCCATGGTGTATATGTGCCACATTTTCTTAATCCAGTCTATCACTGTTGGGCATTTGGGTTGGTTCCAAGTCTTTGATATTGTGAATAGTGCCGCAATAAACATACGTGTGCATGTGTCTTTATAGCAGCATGATTTATAATCCTTTGGGTATATACCCAGTAATGGGATGGCTGGGTCAAATGGTATTTCCAGTTCTAGATCCCTGAGGAATCGCCACACTGACTTCCACAATGGTTGAACTAGTTTACAGTCCCACCAACAGTGTAAAAGTGTTCCTATTTCTCCACATCCTCTCCAGCACCTGTTGTTTCCTGACTTTTTAATGATTGCCATTCTAACTGGTGTGAGATGGTATCTCATTGTGGTTTTGATTTGCATTTCTCTGATGGCCAGTGATGATGAGCATTTTTTCATGTGTTTTTTGGCTGCATAAATGTCTTCTTTTGAGAAGTGTCTGTTCATGTCCTTTGCCCACTTTTTGATGGGGTTGTTTGTTTTTTTCTTGTAAATTTGTTTGAGTTCATTGTAGATTCTGGATATTGGCCCTTTGTCAGATGAGTAGGTTGCAAAAATTTTCTCCCATTTTGTAGGTTGCCTGTTCACTCTGATGGTAGTTTCTTTTGCTGTGCAGAAGCTCTTTAGTTTAATTAGATCCCATTTGTCAATTTTGTCTTTTGTTGCCATTGCTTTTGGTGTTTTCGACATGAAGTCCTTGCCCATGCCTATGTCCTGAATGGTATTGCCTAGGTTTTCTTCTAGGGTTTTTATGGTTTTAGGTCTAACGTTTAAGTCTTTAATCCATCTTGAATTGATTTTTGTATAAGAAATTCATAGCTTTCATATACACAAACAACTTCTAGTTAGAACATATAATGGAAGAAATACTCCATTTACAAGAGTAACTATAAAGGGAAAATACTTATGAATAAAAATAATAAATGTGTACAATCTATAGGAAAAAAACTTTGCAGCAGTTCTAAAAGACATAAAGGAACAATGGAACAAATGGAAAGAAATTTGATAGTCTATTAATTATATTTGTGCTACTGGGCATAAAAAAGTTGAGCCTAAAATATATAGTAAGGTAAGTATATTAAAATTAATTTCTTGTTCATGTAACAATCTGAGGCAGGTATCCATTGTAGGAGGGTGGTCATCCATGAGTGATTTATGGACCCAGACTCCTTCCATCTTGTTGATTTTCTATCTCCTAGAACTGCCTGGTTGTCCACCTCCAGATTGCAGATGGGAGAAAGAGAACATGGCACAGACACCCTCTTTGTGAATACCTTGGCCTGGAAGTGACACAATATATCTGTTCACCTTCCGCTGGTAAAAACTAGTCACATGACCCCACCTAGATAAAGAGTGGCTGGAAAATGTAGTCCATAGCTGGGCAGCTACTTTCCAGCAGCAACAGTGAAACTATTTTGGTGACTATCTTTGTCACACACATGTCCTTGTACAGGCAGAATCAATGTTATAACAATATCAATGAACTCATGTTAATTTTAAATGTAAAGTAGCTCAGCATTATGAATTGTTTACTGAAATAGACAAGACACTTTTAAAGCTCATATGGGAAACTGAAAAATAAGTATAGCTAGGGCTGGGTGCGGTGACTCTTGCCTGTAATCCTAGCACTTTGGGAAGCTGAGGTGGGTGAATTACCTGAGCTCAGGAGTTCAAGACCAGCTTGGGCAGCCCCATCTGGTTTCAAAATGGTGAAATACTGTCTCTACTAGAAATTCAAAAAATTGACCAGATATAGTGGTGCACACCTGTATTTCCAGCTACTCAGGAGGCTGAGGCATGAGAATTGTTTGAATACCGGAGGCAGAAGTTGCTGGGAGCGGAGATGGCACCACTGACCTCCAGGCTGGGTGACAGAGTAAGACTCTGTCTCCAGAAAAAAAGTATAGCTGGAAAAATTTTGAAAAAAGAAGAAAAATGAGAGGAAAATAGCTTTGATATGCATGAAAATTTATTATTAAGCCACAATAATTATAATAGTGGGTTAACAGTGCATAAATTGATGAATAAACCAAAGGAAAATGATTGAAAACCTAGAAATAGTTTAAAATGAATATGAGCAAATTTAGAATACAATATTTCAGTATAATAAATGATATGTTTTGGCTGTGTTTCCACTCAAAACTCATCTTGAATTGCAGTTCCCATGATCCCCATGTGATATGGGAGGAACCCTGTGAGAGGTAATTGAATCGTGGAGGGGATTAGCCCCATGCTGTTCTTGTGATAGTGAGTGATGAGTTCTCAGGAGATCAGATAGTTTTGTAAGGGGCTTTCTCCCCCTTGGTCAGCACTTCTCTCTCCAGCTGCCATGTGAAGAAGGATGTGTTTGTGTCCCGTACTGCCATGATTGTAAGTTTCCTGAGGCTTCCCTAGCCATGTGGAACTGAGTCAATTACCCAGTCTTTCCTTTCTAAATTACCCAGTCTCAGGTAGTTATTTATAGCAATGTGATAACAGATTAATACAATAAATCACTGGGGAAAATGATAGAATAGCAGAATAAACTCTGAACAGATTATAAATTTAAGGATAAGAAATGAAACCATAAAAATAAAAAGAAAAATTGTGGAAATATTTTTTAATCTTAGTTTTGGGAAGATCTTTCTGGTTGTAATTCAAAATTTGTGAAGTCATAAAAAATATTTGTCTAATTGAACCAAAAAAAAAATTAAAAGTGTTCTATATAGCACTTTTGGTCTTCTAGTACATTGTCTTTCATTTCAGGCCTAAACAAATGATTCAATTTAATTGCAGTAATAATAATGGAACATTTACAACCAAGTTAATGCATGAATAGGCAATACCAATTACATCAGAACTACCAGTTGGTTGACAGTTTAACCACTGATTGTAAAATCAAAGATGTAAAAAGCTTTTGAGATAGAAGTGTCAATATTAATGATATCTATAGTACAAAATATATACTTGTATTATTGAAAGTAGAGCAAGCATTCTATGTACCAGTTTGAATCTAAGATAATTAATTTTTAATAATTAATTGAACATAATTTCAGTTCCAAAATGGTGTTGTAAACACAAGCTGGCTGCCACCACAGAAAACCAAAAACAAATATACAATGCCAAGATTATCACCAGCAATATCCCAGAACTCAAATATGAAAATGAGTCAGTTCCTGGGGCCATGGAGAAGTGAAAAAAACTCTGAGCAGATGGTAAAAGAATTGGATTTCCATATCTGCAAGACCCCTCCCCTACATCTGCCCAGCACCAAGCATGCAGAAAATTTCTTCTGACTCATGGTTTCTACACTGGAAAAAGTTAGATTGAGGTGGACAATCAGCTTCCCCACTATCTTGGGTTTACTGGCAGGAGACCTGTTTCTGCCTCAACACATGGGCAGCATCATGAGTGCCTGAAGGGAAAAATATCTCCGAGGACATCAAGAGAAAAAGGAGGAAGGTGAGACTTCCATCCAGCCCTGGAAACCCTGGTCCGTAACTCAGGCAAAAGAGACACCAAATCAGAGTGGCTGTTCAGCACCACCAGGCTGTAGGAAGTATGTTCCACAGGTCCCATGGACACAAATCCCTAACCAGCCTTCTCATACTGCTGCAATATGCCCTTTGGGACCTCCCACATTCTGGAGGAACAGCGCTCTGATTGTGTGCTAGAGCCAAGGCAAATCTGGGCTTAAAGTGCCATCTAATGCTGACAGTGACCTAGCAGAAAAAAAAAATTAAGAAATTCAACAAGTAAATTACTAAGAACCTCTAAGCAAACATATACAACACCCACCACCAACAACAAAAAGCAAGACAGAGAAGATAGTAATAAATAACTAACCTTTTAATGCAAATACATATATTTATCTCCACAAAAACAACAGCAGAAAACCATGACCTCCCTAGATGAACAAAGCAAAGAACCAGCATTGGACAGAAAGAAGATGGAAACTTGTGAGCTCTTTGACCTAGAATTCAAAATAGTACTTTTAAGAAAACTCAGTGAATTACACCATAACACAAAAAATCAATTCAGAAATTTATTGGAGAAATACAACAGAAATTGAAATAATAAAAAATATCAAATGGAAATCTTAGACTGAGAAATATGTTTGATAAACTAAAAAATTAATTAGAGGTTCTCAACAGCAGAATGGATCAATCAGAAGGAAGAATCAGTGAACTTGAAGACAGTCTATTTGACATTACAGTCAGAAGAGGAAAAGAAAAAAGAATGAAAAGGAATGAAGATTGCCTACGAGATATAGCAAATTATCTCCAAGGACCGAATCCAAAAACTATTGGTATTCAAGAGGGAGTTGAAAAAGACAAGAGGGTAGAAAGTTTATTCAAAGAAACAAAAACAGAAAACTTTTCAGAAATTAAGAAAGATATAAATATTCAGTTACAAGAAGGTTAGAGAACATCAAACAGATTTAATCTAATGAGACCACCCCAAGGCATATAATCAAATTCTCAAAGGTTGAGGAAAAAGGGGATCCTAAAAGAAGAAACAGAAAAGAAACAGATAATATATAAGGGAACTCCAATTCATCAGGCAACAATCTTCTCAACAGAAGCGATACAGGCCAGGAGGGAGTGGGATGGCAGTTTCAAAGTGCTAAAAGAAAAAAACTTGCCATCTAAGAATACTGTATTTAGCAAAGCTTGCCATCCAAGAATACTGTATTTAGCAAAGCTATCCTTCAAATATGAAAAAGAGATAAAGTTTTTTCAGATGAATGAAAGCTGAGAGAATTCACCACCACCAGATCTGACTTATAAGAAATGCTAAAGGGAGTTCTTAAGTCTGAAAAAAAATACTAATGTGAAAAAAGAAAATGTTTGAAGGTATAAAACCCACTGGTAAAATTAAGCACAAAGGTAACTCCATAATACTCCAATACTGTAGTTGTGGTATGCAATCCACTCATAACTTTGGTATGAAGCCTAAAAGACTAATCTATCAAAAACAATAACAGCAACAGCAACCTGGTGAGAGATGGGCAATATAAAAAGATGTAAATTGAGACAATGAAAGATCAAAATGTGGGGAGATGAAGTTAAAATATAAACTTTTGGTTTTTTCTTCATTTGTTTCTATTCTTTTTCAAGATTTAAAATTAGTTATCATCTCTTTGAAATAACTTGTTATATCTATAAGATTTTTTTTTAAATGCCAGAGTAGCTACAATGCAAAAATCTGCAGCAGATACACTAAAAACAAAAAAGTAATGAATTATAATATACTACCAGAGAAAATAATTTAACCAAAAAGGAAGACAGTAAGAAATAAAGAAAGGAAGAGAGGAGTTCCAAACAACCAGAAGACCAGCAATACAATGGCAATAGTAAGTCCTTACTTATCATTAATAACACTGAATATAACTGGACTCAATTCACCAATTAAAAGCCATAGAGTGGCTGAATAGATGAAGAAACAAGACTGAACTATATGTTGCCTACAAGAAACCAACTTCACCTATAAAGACACATAAGAACTGAAAGTAAGAGATAGAAAAGATATCCCATGCAAGTGAAAACTAAAAAAGAGCAGGAGTAGCTATGCAGATATCAGATAAAACAGACAAGTCTGAGACTGTAAAAAGAGATGATGAAAGTCATTCTATAATGATAAAAAGAACTCAGTTCAAAAAGAGGATATAACAATCATAAATAGCTATGCACCCAACACCAGAGCACCCAATTATATAAAGCAAACATTAATAGATCTAAAAGGAGAGTAGACTGCAATATAGTAATAATAGGGGACTTCAACACCCCATTCTCAGTAATGGGCAGATCATCTAGACAGAAATTCAGCAAAGAAACATCAGAGTTAGCATTTTACCTAACTGTTGCAAAATACATTCTTTTTATCAGCACATGGAACATTCTCCAGAAGACCATATTTCAGGCCACAAAATAAGTCTCAACAGATTCAAAAAAGCAGAAATCTTATCAACTATATTTTCTGAACACAATGGACTAAAATTAGAAACCAATAACTAGAAGAACCTCAGAAACAACATAACCACATACAAATTAGACAACATGTTTCTGAGCGACCAATGGGTCAATGAAGGAATTAAGAAGGAAACAAAAACTTCATTAAAACAATAAAAACAGAAAGACAACATACAAAAATCTATAGGATACAGCAAAAGCAGTATTTTTAGTAGAAGTTTATAGCAATAAATGCCTATATGAAAAAAGGAAAAAGACTTCAAATAAAAGACCTAATGATGCACTTCAAGGAATTAGAAAATCAAGAACAAAAATCAAACCCAAAGTTAGTAGAAGGAAAGAAATAATAAAAATTAGAGCATAAATAAATAAAATTGGAACTAAAAAAATACAGAAAATCAATGAACTGAAAAGTTGTTTTTTTAAAGATACACAAAATTGACAAACTTTTAGCTAGACTAAGAAAAAAAGAGAGAACATCCAAATAAATAAAATTAAATGAAAAAGGAGACATAGTGACTGAGAGCACAGAAATACAAAGAATTGGAGACTATTATGTACAACTATATTGTCAACAAATTGAAAAACCTAGAAGAAATGAATAAATTTCTGGAAACATACAACTTATCAAGATTGAACCATGAAGTGATAGAAACTTCGATAAAACAACAGTGAGTAATGAGATCAAAGCTGTAAGAAAAAGCCTACCATCGAAGAAAAGCCCAGGACCTGATAGCTTCACTGCTGAATTCCACCAAACATTTATTTATATTTATTTGTTGAGATGAAGTCTCACTCACTCTGTCACCCAGGCTGGAGTGCAGTGACATGATCTCAGCTCATTGCCACCTCCACCTCTCAGGTTCAAGAGATTCTCCTGTCTCAGCCTCCTGAACAGCTGAGATCACAGATGTGCACCACCATGCCTGGCTAATTTTTGAATTTTTAGTAGACATGGGTTTTTGCCATGTTGGCCAGGCTGGTCGCAAACTCCTGATCTCAAATAATCCACCTGCCTCAGCCTCCCAAAGTGCTGGGATTAACAAGTGTGAGCCACCATGCCCAGCCCTCTACCAAACCTTTAAAGAAGAACTAATACCAATTGTACTCAAACTCTTCAGCAAAACTGAAGAAAAGAGAATACTTCCAAACTCATTCTATAAGCCCAGAATTACCCCGATACCTAAACCAGACAAGGGCACAAGTGAAAAATAACACTACAGGCCATCATTACTGATGAACACAGATGAAAAAATCCTTAACAAAACACTAGCAAAGTGAATTCAACAACATTACAACATATTAAAAAGATCATTCACCATGATCAAGTGCGATTCATCCCAGGATGCAAGACTGGTTCAATGTATGCAAATTAATAAATATAATACATTGTATTATTAGAACCAAGAATAAAAGGCTTATGATCATTTCAATAGATACTGAAAAAGAATTAGGTAAAATTCAACATGGCTTTATGATAAAAACCTTCATCAAATATGTTAATATAAGGAGTTTAAACAACTCAACAGCAAAAAAGCAAACAAACAATTCAATTAAAAAGTGGACAAAGGACAGGAGTAGACATCTCTCAAGAAAAGACATACAAATGACTAACAGGTATATGAACAAATGCTCAACATCACTAATCATCAGAGAAATGCAGATCAGAAAACACTTATCAGAATAAATTAATATAAGGAGCTCAAACAATAGCAAAAAAGCAAACAAACAATTAAATTAAAAAGTAGACAAAGGACATGAATAGACATCTCTCATAAAAAAGACGTACAAATGACCAACAGGTATGTAAAAAAATGCTCAACATCACTAAGCATCAGAGAAATGCAAATCAAAACAACAATGATATATCGTCTCACCCCAATTAGAATGGCTTTTATCAAAAAGATAAGGAGTAACAGCTGCTGGTAAGGATATGGAGAAAGGGGGACCCTTGTATACTGTTGGTGGGAAGGTTAATTAATACAGCCACTAAGGAAATCAGTATGAAGTTTCCTTTAAAAACTAAAACTAGAGCTAACATATATCCAGCTGGGTATATATCCAAAAGAAAGGAAATCCATATATCAAAGAGATATCTGTACTTCCATATTTATTGGAGTTGTATGTATAATAGCCAAAATATGAAATCAACCGTTGTGTCCATCATTGGATGAATGGATAATAAAAATGTGATATATATACAATGGAATATCATTCAGCCATGAAAAATGAAATCCTGTTATTTGCAGCAACATAGATGAAACTGGAGGTAATTGTATTAAGAGAAATAAGTCAGGCAAAGAAAAACAAAAACAAACATTATATGTTCTCATATGTGGGAACTAAAAAAGTGGATCTCATGAAGACTGAGAGTAGATTGGTGGCTACCAGAGGCTGGGAAGGGTAGAGGAAGAGAGGGATGAAGACAGGTTGATCAATGGGTATAAATATACACTTAGAAGAAATAAAACATAGTGTTTGATAGATCAGGTGGGTGACCGTAGTTAACATTAATCAATTGTACATTTCAAAATGGCTAGAAGAGAATAATTAGAAAGGATTAATATTTAAAGTGTTGGATATCCCAATTACCCTGATTTGATTATTTGAAGGTATCAAATTATCACAAGTACTCTGAAAATATATATATTTCTTATATACCTATAAAAATAAAAAATAAAAAATTCATCATTGACAACATGATTATGGTCTCAAAGGATCATCATAATATTTTGTGTATCACTCACTGAAAGATTAATTATACTAATAGTCTTAAAATAATAGATCAGTAATAATCTTTGCTCTGTATTAAAATTTTCAGAACATTTGTTAAACATTTGCTAAACATTTACTAGATGTTATTATTTGTGTTTAGTAAAAAATAATGAGTGGAGTTCTGTTTTATTCACTATTTATATTCACACACACAGGCACATGTACATCCACATGCACTCTTCTGCATGTACACAACACTCTTTCTCAGTGTATTCCAGGGTGGGGAAAAATTAATGTCCACAGCAGGGAAATATTAAAAGCATATTCATGAGTCAGAATTCTGTTTTTAGTTCTATTGTGAAGGGTAATTGTTTGTTACTGTAAATAATAGCATGTGCCTTGGTTGAAGTTTTCAGCATGGGGCAATATTAACTGTGTATATCCCTCTGTGAAATGCAAGCTCTTTTGATTTACTTCTAAGTAAATCTAACACAATATCACTTAATATCAGGCATTGATTACTCACATAGGCACAGAAGACTTTTTTTCACCCAAAATAAACAACAAACATCAACAGATGTAGCACAGTGGTCCAAACATCAGGACAATCACAAGATAAGCTCATTAGGAAGTTTCCAGTCACTTTTTTTTTTCAAGATGAGTGATTGACCTCAAAATCAAATTCCAGGTGTTTTCTTATGCAGGCACAGAAAAACAAAAACAAACATTATATGTTCTCACTCATATGTGGGAACTAAAAAAAATCGAATTCCAGGTGTTTTCTTATGCCCTTCAGGATTACACATTTGATCCAAACCAGTCAATTCTTTAGAAATTTATTTTAGAGTAAACAACCTGTCATGGGCAGAATACCAAGTAATTCTGTTGAAACTAAAAGAACACTTTGCTTGGTCATTGAATAAATGTGTTAATTGCTCTTTTCTGCCATAGATTTTAGTCTAACTTTTGTCCTTCACTCTGGCATATCTGAAATGCTGCTTATAAATCTAAAGAACTAGAAATGTAGAGCTGATGGCTGTAATATTCAATTTACAGTACCTAATACTAACAACATAGGTCTTCCAGAAGTGGCTTATAAATATTGATTTTACAATGGAAACCTCCAGAAAGAACATAAAAATAATTCTACACACAATATTCTAGAGATTTTTTTAATGTGAGGACCCAAAGCAATCTACTCTGAGTGTGACTGATGTCCTCATTGCCCTTGTCTAGGAGCTGGTGGCCTCCTGGTCTGTTGCCACAGCCCGTTGCTAAACAGTTAAACCTATTGGCATGCGTGTCGTACCCCTGCCCAGCGGTCCCCTAAGCAAGCCACAAATCTTCCTTGCTCTGGATGACAGTTAATGAACTGTAAAAGTCTTGCACCAATATTTCTACTTCATCTGCAAGCTCGAAGAAGGCAAATTTGTTTTTCACCCTCGAAAAGAACCCGCTGTATTTCTCAGGCAGACAAAAATGATTTGTTTGTGTGGATCTCTTTTTAGTTAGGAGAATATCTTTGGGGCTTGGAAATTCGATTCAGAAAAAAACCACAAGCTTCTAATTATTTCAGGATGTTTTATGTGCCTGGATGTGTTTTATTACCCCAACTATATTGCAAGCTCTTCTAACTCTGTGACCTTGAGCAAGCCACTTAACCTCTCTGGGCTTATTTTCCCCTCTGTAACATGAGGATTACAATACCTGGTGTTATTACCTCACAAAATTCCTCAGAAAATCAAATGAGATGGTCACTATTATGCTTTCTTAAAGATCATTTAAAATGACTCGATTAAACATCATATTAATTCTCAAGAGCTTTAAATTACATTCATCATAACACAATTTATGTATATATATATGTGTGCGTATATATCTTTATGTGTATTTAGATATATATGATATATACATGTATTTAGATACATATATATTCCCTCACCCACTGAACAGGTTCTGTGATATATTGTTTTTACAGATTAAGCAAAATGAAATATAACTGAACATGAGAAAGCAACTGATTAGGAGCAAGTGTAACAATACATTTTAAGAAACATCTACTGCACATTCTGGGATAATTGCTTTAGGCATATCCCTAGTCATATTATTTGCTCAACTTTTGACTGGAGCCGCTTCATAAATTCTAATGTCCTTCTAAATTGTTGCCTCAGTTGTGTTCTGTTTAAGATTTACCAAAATGGTACCATTAGAAATGCTGCTAATGTATTATTCCTTTTCTCATTTATCCTTCTGTGATTTTAGAAAAAAAAAAAATCTGTTCCTTTTAGTTTCTTCTCTCTTTTCCCAGCTGGCACCATCTCTTGTCTTAGGCAGCTGGGATGTGGAGCACAGTATTCCTGAACCAAGTGTTGAAGTTGATTGTTGATACATACTTCTCAGAGGCTGATCTTTCTGAGAATCCTACTAATTTCACTACAAAATTTATCAGAATAATTCCCGGGTCTCTTTTAAAGCAGATTTAGCTCCAACTTGTGCTGGAGAACTTCATCAGTGTAGTTTTTACAGGTTCTAATATCAGTCCAAATCACAACTTTCAGTTGTGGTATAACAGGTCCACCAGCAGAAGGCATTCTCTGCATCTACTGTAGAATCCAAAAGAGCTTCTTGTATGGCAGGATTGTCCCTTCCAGTTGCTGGGTCTGTGTCTTCAAAATGTTGATATTAATAAAGCTTTTGTCATTGTCTATCTCTTCTTTTGAAATTTCTTCATTCACTTTTTAAAAAATTCACCACAATGCATACTTTATACAGATTTGCTTAGTTTTTACTTAATGCCTTTTCTTGTTGTTCCAGGATCCCATCCAAGAGACCACATTCCATTAGTTGTTATGTCTCCTTAGGCCCCTCGAGACTGTGACATCTTCTTGGACATTCTTTATTTTTGATGACCTTGACAGTTTGAGGGATAGAGTACAGGTCAGGTATTTTGTAGAGACTGTCCCTCAATTTGGATTTTTCTAATTTTGTTCCTCATGATTAGGCTGGGGTTATAGGTTTTTGGGAGGAAGAGCACAGGGGTAATACAGTTAGCCTCATTATATTATCCTTCAGTATCTCACTAAATCATATCAAGGGTACATATGATTTGTTTGACTGAGCACTACTGACTTTGACCTTGATCACCTAGCCAAGGTATTGTTTGTCAGATTTCTCTATAGCAAATTACTGCCTGCTCCCCATTCACCTTTCCATATTGTACTTTTTGCAAGGAAATCAGTATAGATAGCTCACATTTTGGTCGGGGGGAGTTATGCTCCACATACTAGAGGTGGAGTATTCACATAAATCACTTGGAATTGTTCTTCACAGATTTGTCCCTTTTACTCCAATTATTTATTTTTAAAATCATCTATATCTGTATAGACTCATGGATATTTATTTTATAGTTTGGGTTATAATTTTATTTTGGCACTCAAATTGACCCAGAGTTGGCCATTGGGAACTCTTATAGTTGTCTCCTATTGATGTATCCTATTACCTTGGACCCCCTGTCTCCACCCTTTCTCTCTTTTCCCCTCCCCTTCCTTACCTTCCCTACTTCCTCTCCCCAGCCCCGCTTTCTCTTTCTTTCTTAGCGCTTTCTTACTTTTTGGCACTATAAGGTGCTACTCCAGGCTTATCTTCTGTGTTTCCTTCACTAGTGCTAGAACAGGCAATTTCTTCAAGGATCCCTGGTTCCTTTTATTGCAGAATGATATAAGGAACCAAGATCTGAGCACTAGGTGTGCCATAAAGATGTTGTTTCTTTTAGGCTTTCTTAGCTGACAGAAGAGAGAATTATATGTATATGTGCTAACCTGTGTACATACACCTATTTACAAATATTTATACATTTAACTATATTAAGCTGAAAATGAGCAAATCTCTCTCTTTTTTTTTTTTTTTTTTTGAGACAGAATCTCTGCTTTCAGGCTGGAGTGCAGTGGCATGATCTTGGCTCACTGCAACTTCCGCATCCTGGGCTCAAGTGATCCTCAACCTTCCAAGTAGCTGGGACTACAAGAGTGCACCACCACACGCAGCTACTTCCCATGTTTTTTGTAGAGATGAGGTTTCACTACGTTGCCAAGGCTGGTCTTGAACTCGGGCTTAAGCAATTCTCCTGCCTTGGACTCCCAAAGTGCTAGGATTATAGGCATGAGCCACCACACCCAGCAGAGTTAATTCTAACATCTTTAACTCTAATCTATTACCATATGAGTCATTCTAGCCTCCTCCACTTGCCTGTAATCTGTGTAGGAAAGCCTTTATCAGTTTGGATACAGTGCTTGTGTACAGTTTCTTTTGCCTTTAGTCTTAAGGTCTCTGCTCATTTCCAAAGTTGCTTAAATCAGCACCTTTTCTCTATACTTCTTTCAGTGAGGTTTTTCATATTCTTGTAACACAGTTGATTGTCCCTATTCTGCATTCCATCCTGTAATTCCCTGACTTCATTAATGATTTTTTTTAATTGTCTTCATCCATTTATACACTTTCTAAACTATAGTTTCTTGGCCTTTTCAGGCACCAATGCATATATATTAATACTTCTTTACCTAAAAATTCAAGTACATAGCATGTTGCTCTTTGTATTAATCTGTGCTTTTACTCATAGATAAAAGAATCCACTTTAGCTAGTTTGAAATATATTATTAGTAATAATAACAACAGAAGCAACAACAACCATAATGTAACATTAATGTATTTACCATGTGTCAGGATGCATTCTAAATGCTTTACCTATATTAACTCCTTTATACTGTATGAAAACCCTATGCAACAGCTACCTATTTGTACCACTTTTCAGATAAGGAAACTGGCATAAAGCAGTGAGATAACTTGCCTGAGATCACACAATTATTAAGCGGCAGAGCCAGGATTGGAGCCCAGGCTACTTTCCCTAGCTCCCAGAGTCACAAAAAGGACTAGAGGGACAATTCTAGGCTGATTTCTACTAACAACTCCTGGAAACACCCTGAGGAACTGGCCACTGATCCCAGGACCCCACTGCCCTATCCATGATAGCAAGTGGCCTCTCCTGCTTCCCCCACTTCCAATCATAGAAACTTGTGGCCTCTGCCACCCCCCGGGCTGCAAAATGGAAATCCCATACCTGCCATTTCCTCACTTCCAAATCATAGGCCCTTGCAGTTAGGTCTGGTTGAAAGAAACTAAATCACATGCCTGAACCTTAGTATCTCAAGAGACTTAGACTTGTACTGTTATAGTAGAACCATCATATTCTTAGTGCTGCTTCAGTGTGTGTTTTGTAATTAGCTAAGCAACAAGAAAATAAAACATTGTGTTTTGGATTCTCATAACAATCCTAGTTCTAGACGAGGAAACTGAGGCACACAGAGTAAGATAACTTTTCCAAGGTCACACAGGTAATAAATGGGTAAGTCAAGTTTTGAACTTGATAGTCTATTGTAAAAAATTAAGCTCTTAACCACTCAGCAATATTGCAAACTATTTTTCTAGACAGTGAGGTAATGCAAAATGGTGCATGGACAAGAGATTTTGCATTTTTTTCTGTTGTTTTATTTCTGGTAGCTTAGCTACTTTAGCTGAGTGCTATCTCCCAAATTCATAAGCCCACAGACACCACCTCCCAGGCTGGGTACCACCACAACCCTGGGTACTGCACCTTACAAGCTTGAGAACATGAAAAACGTCTCTAAGGACAGAAAAATCTTAGAGGGGGCCTCTGGTAGCTTCTTGGTTACAGAGCTGCTTCTATAGCTCTGGCCTCCTACTATGCAGCAACTTAAAACATTAAAGGAGCTTTAAAGTTATAAAATGTTATCATCACTAGCAATAATTTTGGAGGGGCAGGGATAGTGTCTCCTTATTACTTTTGACTTCCCTATAGTGCCCACACATTTGCAACTAGTGGGCCTTCAATCACTCCTTTATACAAGAGGGAATAAAGAAAAAAAATTTTGAACTCCTTTCAAGGGCTGCAGCATGCTGCAGGCTATAATTTGCGTGAGCCCTGGCCTCTCCTCACCAATCTTGAGTTTACATCCTGGGAGAATGGGTGAGGCTACTGCAGAATCAATAGTTGGAGAAGGCAGTGAAGTCTCACGAGATTTGCTCTCTCTCATTCCCTGTGTGAGGCTTAGAATTCAGCTGGGAGTAAGAGGTTACTCATTTGTCCCTATGAGAATTAATCACTTTTGTGGCCAGCCTCACCTTATTTAGTTGACTTTCATCTCATGCTCCTCCTCACTGTCTTCTTCCCATTAGCTGCTGTGTGCGTGGGGAATACCAAGCAACCTTCACAGTGATCCCAGTGAAGTGCAATCAAGAAGGGAACTATGCTGGCTACAGAAATCACAAACAGCATTAAGTATTCAAATATCAATGAGTTTTGGATTATTTGTGCCACTGCATACCCAATTTTCCCTCTCCTGCATGAATAACCTGCAAGACATCTAGTGCCCCGGGGAGGGGTTGGGGATGGTCTCTTTAGTGGACTCCAATCCAAAGCACATTTTACAGGACTACTCCCTTCACCTGATGCAACTCTCTCCTCCTTTTACATTTCAACCTCCTCCACCCCATTCTAACTCTAGGGGAGGGTTTTCCAGAGGGTCAAAAGGGTGATATATTCTCACTTTAAGGCCAGGTCCAGATTAGGACTTCTACAGAGCCGGCGTACACTCTGTGGATGATTGTATTATTTCTCTCAAGTATGTGCTCTCTCCTTCTCTATTATACGTGCCCTTTTATGGCCATGGGACTTGTAGTCCTCCTGAGGGAGCAGCTTACATCCCTCTTTACTTGGCCATGTGACAGGCTTTGGCCAAAGGGATGTGAGCAGAAGTGTTGTCTGCCTTGTGTAAAAGTTGCTTTAAAAGGCACCATGGGTTCCATGAATTCTGCTCTGTTTCCTCTTCCACAAGTATGCCATGTCCCGAATATGGGCTGCTTCTTCAGCCTGGGTCTTAGAGAGAGAAAACATGGGGAACAGGGCTGGGAAGAACCACCACAAATGACCTGCACCAGCCAACAATTAAAATTCATGATCAATAAATGCTGGTTATTATAAGCCAGTGGAATTTGGGGGTTCTTACTGCAGTAAAACTGACTGATATTCTCATGTATAATTCAAACTAAGAACTATCCTGAAGGTTAGGGATGCCCAATAAATTGTAATTTTCTCTCCCAACCACAATGATTACTTCAATGATTTATTGGACCTCACTGAATATCAATTTATTTATAACATTTGTTTCCTCATTTTGTTATGGCCACCTGCTGTGTGTGTGTGTGTGGAGGGGAGGGGGGCGGTGCTCCAAACATGAGCTCAGCCTCCCTCTTGGGTAATCCTGAAGAAACCATGCTTAAATGGACAAAAGTAATGGTTCCCGGTAAGTCAGGATACCCAGTGGCTTATGCATTAATCAGCTTTGTGTGATTTTCAGCAAGTAATAAAACCTGACTGTTACTCAGATGATTCATTTTTTAAAAGCAGCAGCTTAGACCAAATAACTTCAGGTTTGATTCAGCTATAAAATTTATAAGGTCTGGGGGGGACTAATAAATAATGGCCCATTTCCCTACCCATGTTTGGAATCTATTGTAAAAGAGCCACACTCAGGAATTATAGATGATGGAGATCAAAATAGGTTTTATTGTGATAAAAGCTCTGTTGGAGGCCATGGCTCAGCATGCAGCTAAAGGAGCCGCTAACCTTCCTCTGAATTTATCTTTCCTCCCCAAACTCTGTGCCTTCTCTTGCCATAAGGCTGGTGCAGAAGAGACTGTGCACTGCCTGCAGATGCCCACAGCCAAGTACGGAAGGGGATAAGCCCAGGGATCTCACCCTCTGCTCCCAAACTTTCCAATCAATTGTCACTCTTTCTACCCTCTGTTGGGGAAAATGGGTTAATGTAGATAGAGGTAGGCCTGCTACTCCTCACTTGGAAACATGGATCCTGGGGAAAGGAAGATCCCCCCCATAAGAATTCTATAAATCTGTAATTTGAAAGCAGGTTCAGAACACAGTGGAAAGAACATGTGGCAGAAAGATCTACACTCAAACCTGGGTTCATCACAGACTTCTGTAATTTCAGGCAGGTCAACTCACCTCTCTAGGCCTCAGTTTTCCCCTCTGAAAAATATGGATAACAAGAATACTAGCACTGCCTAGCAGATAAGATTGTTCTGTGAATCTAATGAGACAATATGTGTGAAAAAGTTTTGAAAACGATGCACTGTACAAGATAAGGTTAAAGTGAAAGGGATATACTATTAAGTCATGGAAATTAGTGACTGTATAGCTGCAATTTCTAGCCACAATTTTAGCTTAACTAAGAAAAGCAAGTCAGAGGATGGAGGCAGTTTTCTGAATACTATGCTCGGGTTTCTGGACAGACAGCCCAACATCCTTTTCACCCCACCATCATACTGATGGTTCCTGAGTCACACCTGGAAGCCAAGGACTCCAGTCCTAACAAAAATTCTATTTTGTTCAGGCTTCCAGGGCAGCCGAACACTGAGTCCACTACCGTTCCCCTGTGTTGCATTGTTTTTCTCCCCTTGGACCGGGATGGGCAATTTCTGTCCTTTTTGGGTGATCTCTTTCTTCTCAGTAAAGTGAGTGGCGGTAACAGGCTAGAATGCTCTGTCAGGGGAGAGCCAGGAACAGGGGAGTCAGGATCAGGAGACCCAAGAGCTCCCCTAGGCTCTGCCTTCGCTCAGTTTTCCACACTGCTTTTGGCATTGCCATAAATTTAGCATTTTCCAAAGTGTATTTCTCAGATTGCCAGTTCCCCAAGACACTCAAACTCAAAAAGTTTCTGTGGTTAAATTAGTTTAGGAAAGGCTCCATGTATAATTCCCCCTCTTTGAGAGTTTCAATGTCCATTAACATACCAAAGGCCCTTAAAAGTCCTATAAATCCTCTAGCAAACAAAGGTTGTTTATTATTTGCTGTTGTTTAACCCAGAACTTCTAAAATGTATTTGGCATTGAAACACTTATTTTTCAAGAAGCACTACTAACATCCTGGTTTCATGTGGTGAGTGAATCTGACCTTCAAAAACCCCACTCGCACTTCACCTCCATGAAAGAAGGTTTGGCGAGAGTTCTCAACCTTGGCTGTGCACTAGAGCCATCTGGGAAGCTTCTACAACACCCAATACTTAGACTGCCCCCAAACCAATTAAATGAGCAAATCTGGGGCTGGGTCCCAGGCATCAGTACTACGTAAAGTTCCCTGAGTTCCAGGGTAAGACAAAGGCTGAGAACCACTGGATTAGAGGAAAACGCTTTGGTGGTAACTTTCATTGCCATTGCCTGCCAAGGTCAGCTGAGTTAGCTTTTCACATAGTAAGGCCAGGCTTATTATTTCACAAGAAATAGGAAAAATGTAAAATGCTCATGGTGACTAAGTGAAAATGTCTACTGAAGGAAACTAATAATTTCCTTCAGTTATGTGCAAACATTTATATGGCACATAAACATACATTCTAAATACTTTTCATATATTATTGAAGTGACATTATTTGTCTGGGGAAATACCCAAGGTTTGTTGTCTCAAGCCAAGGAAATCAAAGACATGGATGCACAAGGAATGGGTTTAGGAGCAGAGGTTTAATAGGCAAAAGAAAGAGAAAGGAGAATAGCTCTCTCTCCTGCAGAGAGAGAGGGGCGTCAAAGTGGGACTTCTGGTCCATGGTCCATGGTCCATGGTGGAGTGTGCAGGGTGGAGGGGAGGAGGAAGAAGTTTGGGGTTTATAGACTGGCTTGAAGAGGCAGTGTCTGATTTACATAGGACCTAAAGATTGGTTGGAGCAGGTGTGACATTTACATAGTCTGTGAAGAAGCTGGCCACACGACCCTAATCTTTTTATCATGCAAATGGGTTTTCTACCTGGTCAGTGGCCATGTTGTCTGCTCCTTACTGTACACGTGGTTGACAAGGAAAAGGGAAGATGGAGCCGCCATGTTGAACTTGCCTAGCCCCCAGGTAGCCTTCTCCTATTGGCACAGCTGCCAGCATTCATCCATGCAAGCTTCCAGCTTGCTTATCTATGCTGTGGCTTGGTTTTTTAGGCTCCTTTTTTGTTATAAAAGAAATGATTTGGGGCTGCTTTTCATTCAAGGGAAAACCTTACTGAGGACTTTCTTACCCTATCTGTCTAAATAATTTCTTTTTAACTCCTATATCATTATCACATTTCCACATGTAATAACATAATTCTCTTGACAGTCCTTAAGGGGCAAGTATTTTTAATGACCATTTTACAGGTGAGAAAACTGAAGCATGGAGTTAGGGGTTAAACCACTTAAGGAAGAGCCAGCTGACTTAGTAAGTGAGAAAGCTGGGATTTGAACTTGAGTGATCTTGCTCCCAAATCTCTAACCAACCTTATTGTGGAGTCCTGATAAGGTAAGTAAACAGCAATGAGGAAAGGGTTCCAGGTTAAGGAGAATGATTGTTCTGAGAGACAGTGTGATGGTTAATATTGAGCATCAACTTGACTGGATTGAAGGACCCAAAGTACGGTTCCTGGGTGTGTCTGTGAGGGAGTTGCCAAAGGAGATTAACATTTGAGTCAGTGGACTCGGAGAGGCAGACCCACCCTCAGTCTGGGTGGACACCATCTAATCAGCTGCCCCCGTCGCTAGAATAAAGCAGGCAGAAGATGGAAGAGCAGACTTGCTGAGTCTTCTGATCTTTATCTTTCTCCTGTGCTGGTTGCTTCCTGCCCTCAAACATCAGACTCCAAGTTCTTCAGCTTTTGGACCCTTGGACTTAACCAGTGGGTTGCCAGGGGCTCTCAGGCCTTTGGCCACAGACTGAAGGCTGCACTGTTGGCTTCCCTACTTTTGAGGTTTTGGGACTCTGACTGATCGACCACTGGATTCCTTGCTCTTCACCTTCAGATGGCCTATCATGGGACTTTACCTTGTGATCATTATGAGTCAATTCTCCTTAATAAAATCCCTTTCATATAGACATCTATCCTATTAGTTCTGTCCCTCTAGAGAACCCTAATACAGATGGCTAATCGCAAACAACGTTTTGGCACAACTACCTCGCTCTGCAGGAAGCCCCAGCAGCATGACCTCGTTCTACATGGAGCCCCCTTCAGCATGATCCTATGAAACTTCCCTCCAGTCCTTGCTGTAAGATTCTCCCTGGGGCCTGAAAGCTTAAGGAGATGAATAACTCCTCCCTTCTCAGGCCCAGTCCCAAAGCACAAGGCCACTTGTGTCAGCAGCGTGAGCCAGCAAGATAGCAGAAGCAAGAAGAGAGCCGGCCAGATGACATGTACCCCTGAAGATCGAGAAAAAGGCCATCTGGGCATAACGTAGCAGTTACATCAGACTAGGACACTTCCCGTTTACAGGAGACTATAAAAGCTTTGTCCTGTCCTCACTAGGGGCTAACGCCATTTTAGGCCTCAGCCCACCTGCACCCAGGCGCTCATTAAAACAGCATGTTGCTCCACATTGCCTTGTGTTGTCTCTTGGCGTGCTCTTGGGGTTTGAACCAACACAAGAACCTTACGTCCGGTGCTGAAACCCAGGAGGGGCTCAGGTCTGTGCCCCCCTTGGAACTACCCCTCCACCCCAGAGAGCAGGCCACAGCAGCCAGACAAAGGAAGTTCTTCAGCCTCCAGTCACCTCTCTGTGCATGCACATCGGTTACTGATCTCGCCTACTAGTAAGTTTCCCCAGGAGCCTGGTTAACAGAGAAAAATCCACACGGCCTCTCTTGGTTCCTCCGGTCTGAAAATCCAGTGTTGGTCCAAGAAGGCTCTGGCATGTGCCAGGCACTCGCTGAATCATCTGGTCTTAGGGGGACGCCTCTAGGCCATTTGATCCCCTTCCGGAATGAAAAGGCAGCGGAGATGATTGCTCCTTTTATTGTCTCCCTCCAGCCATCCAGGAAGGTCTTTTTCCCTGTTCTCCCAAGCCTACCCTCCATTATGGGAAACTCCCAGTCCTCCATTCTGAAAAACAGCCCTCTAGGCTGCCTCATAAAAAACCTGTAAACCTTAGGCCTCAGGCAAGATACTCGCCCTAAGCACCTTGTGTTTTTGCAATTCAGTCTGGCCACAATACGAATTGGATAATGAGTTCGAATGGCCCGCAAATGGAACAATCGACTTTACAATTTTAACTGATTTAAGCAATTATTGCCCACAACTGGAGAAATGGCAAGAAATTCCTTCTGTCCAGGCCTTTTTGCAATCAGATCACAATGCGACCTCTGCAGTTCTTGCTCACCTGTTCAAATCCTTCTCCCCCATTCTCACCACCTTGATTGCCTTTCTCCTCCTGACCCTGCCTCTTTTTCCTCATTTGATTCAGCTGGCTGCTGTCCACCCCTCTCAGCCCCTACCTCTTCCTCTCAAGATCTTCTTTAACTCCCCAAGCCTCCTCGTTGCCTTCTCAGCCGCCATCTTCCCAGATGCCATCTTCTCAGCCACCACCTTCCCAGCCACCATTTTCCCAGCTGCCATCTTCTTAGCCACTATCTTCCCAGTCAGCTGTATCCACTTCTTTTCCTACACCTTCCCCTCCTCAGGACAATTCTAGTATTGCCTGTACCCATTCTCCTTCCTCACCGCCCTCTCCTGAAGACTGTAAACCCATCCCGCCACCTTACACCCCTATCTATCCTCCACTGCCTGGTAACTCAACCCCTTTTCCCCCTTCAAATCCTCAGCAGAAACCACTATTTTAAACCTTTGGTTCATCTCTCAATCCACCCCCAATATTCAGTGCAAGCTTCGGAAGCTTGATGACAGCCCTGAAACCCTACAATGAGACCTTCCTAATTTAGCCTTCAAAGTCTTTAACAATTGTGACTAGGAAAGTAGAAGGCAAAAACAGGCAGAGTTTCAAATGCTTGCCTCTGCCATCAGGGGCCCTGCAGGCCCACGGGGCCGCAGCTCCACACGGAAGCCTCCTAACAATCCATCTCCACCTGGCGCCTGTTTCAAGTGCTGCAATGAAGGCCACTGGTCCAGACAATGCCCAAATCCAGGTAAGCCCACCAGGCTGTGCCCCCTCTATGGAGGACTCCACTGGAAGTTGGACTGTGAGCAGCCCCCGCAAGGACCGCCCCCGACCCTTCCTAAGCTGGCCAAAACCTCCTACTTGGATCTCATCAGCCTTACTGCTGAAGACTGATGGTGCCCTGGAATGGATGCCCCAGCAATTACCATCTCTTCATCCAAGCCAAGGGTAACTCTGATGGTAGAAGGTAGGCCAGTATGTTCTTTTAAAATTAATATCGGGGCAACCTACTCTGCTTTATCTAATTTTTCAGAACCCACCCAATCCTCCCAAGTCTCTGTTGTGGGAATTCATGGATAAGTCTCCAAACCCCGAGCCACCCCTCAACTTTTCTGCTTCCTGCACCCTTTTTCCTTCACTCACTCTTTCTTAGTCCTGCCCTCATGCCCAACCCTGCTCCTAGGCAGAGATATCCTTTCAAAACTCCACACTACTCTCCACTTCCACATTCCCCATAGTACCCAACACATTACCCAGACCCCTCCAGTACTTCTAGCTTTCTTCTACTCCTTCACCCTCCCACTCTAAAACATGCAACTTTTCCTTATCCCCCATCTGTAGTTAACCCTGCTGTTTAGGATACTTCCACACCCTCAGTCGCAGAACACCACACCCCCATCTGCATTATCCTTAAAAAGCCCACCCAGTTCCTATCACAGAAGCAGTATCCCATCTCCCAAGCAGCTCTCATAGGCCTAAAGCCTATCATTTTTCGCCTCCTTGCCAGTCACCTACACCGCCCAACAAACTCCCTTTTAACACACCAGTTCTACCTGTTAAAAAGCCAGATGGAATTTATCGCTTAGTACAGGACCTAGGCTCGTCAACCAAGCTATACTCCCAGTGTGTCTAGTAGTTCCTAACCCATATGCTTTACTTTCTGCAATTCCCTCCAATGCCACCCATTTTTCTGTCCTAAACCTAAAGAAAGCTTTTTTCACAATTCCTTTGCACCCTGATTCTCCAGACCTCTTTTCCTTTACATGGGAAAACCCCGACACCCACCTTTCACGTCAGCTCACCTGGTGCGTACTACCTCAAGGTTTCAGAGACAGTCTCCACCTTTTTGGACAGGTCCTTGCTCGTGACCTATGTACCTTATCCCTAAAACCGTCCACTCTCCTTCAATGTGTTAATAATCAGCTCCTGTGTAGCCCCTCTCAAAGAAACTGCAATGCCCATACTATCTCTCTTTTAAACTCCTTGGCAGAACGGGAGTACTAGGTCTCCCCTAAGAAAGCACAAACATGCACCCCCTCAGTCACCTATCTAGGCCTAGCCCTTACCCTGCGAACCCAAGGGCTTACAACCGACCACATATCCCTCCTCCAGTCCCTCCCACCTCCACAAACTAAGCAAGAAATTCTCTTTTTTTTTTTAAAGTAAAAATGACAAATTCATATACATATGTTAAATGGTACAGCTTCTCTTTACATTAGCTCCCCGAGTTACAACCTCTCCCCTTGTGTAGGTACAAATCACTGATTAAAGTGCAGAAAAACTTCCCCAATACAGGAATCCGGCTTCTGAAAATATCTGTGCTGGAAAATTTGCAATGGAGGCATGGAAGACTTGAGAAAGGGAGGGCTGGGAAACAAGAGCTGTAACTCAATCTGAAGACACTCATAAATATCAATTTTAATATCTATTTACAATACAGCAATAAAGGCAAACTAAAAAAGGCTATACAAGGCATTTTGCACATCTTCATGTACTGGGTTCTCTGAAGCCCAATTCCTGTTAATATCTTTTGCTGGAAGAATTTTCTTTTTTTTTTTATTATTATACTTTAAGTTCTAGGGTACAAGTGCACAATGTGCAGGTTTGTCTCATATGTATACATGTGCCATGTTGGTGTGCTGCACCCATTAAGTCGTCATTTACATTAGGTATATCTTCTAATGCTATCCCTCCCCTGTCCCCCCATCCCACAACAGGCCCCGGTGTGTGATGTTCCCCTTCCTGTGTGCATGTGTTCTCATTGTTCAATTCCCACCTATGAATGGGAACATACGGTGTTTGGTTTTTTGTCCTTGCAATAGTTTCCTGAGAATGATGGTTTCCAGCTTCATCCATGTCCCTGCAAAGGACATGAACTCATCCTGTTTTATGGCTGCGTAGTATTCCATGGTGTATATGTGCCACATTTTCTTTCTTTCTTTTTTTTTTTTTTTTCTGAGATTGAATCTTGCTCTGTTGCCCAGGGTGGAGTGGAGTGCAGTGGCACGATCTCGGCTTACTGCAAGCTCCATCTCCTGGGTTCCCGCCATTCTCCTGTCTCAGCCTCCTGATTAGCTGGGACTACAGGTGCCCACCATCACACCCAGCTATTTTTTTTTGTATTTTTAGTAGAGACGGGGTTTCACCATGTTAGCCAGGATGGTCTCGATCTCCTGACCTTCTGATCCACCTGCCTTGGCCTCCCAAAATGCTGGGATTACAGGCGTGAGCCACTGCGCCCAGCTGTGCCACATTTTCTTAATCCAGTCTATCACTGATGAACATTTGGGTTGGTTCCAAGTGTTTGCTATTGTGAATAGTGCCACAATAAGCATACGTGTGCACGTGTCTTTACAGTAGCATGATTTATAATCCTTTGGGTATATACCCAGTAATGGGATGGCTGGGTCAAATGGTATTTCTAGTTCTAGACCCTTGAAAAATCGCCACACTGACTTCCACAATGTTTGAACTAGTTTACAGTCCCACCAACACTGTAAAAGTGTTCCTATTTTTCCACATCCTCTCCAGCACCTGTTGTTTCCTGACTTTTTAATGATCGACATTTTAACTGATGTGAGATGGTATCTCATTGTGGTTTTGATTTGCATTTCTCTGATGGCCAGTGATGATGAGCATTTTTTCATGTGTCTGTTGGCTGCATAAATGTCGTCTTTTGAGAAGTGTCTGTTCATATGCTTCGCCCACTTTTTGATGTTTTTTTTTTTCTTGTAAATTTGTTTGAGTTCTTTATAGATTCTGGATATTAGCCCTTTGTCAGATGAGTAGGTTGCAAAAATTTTCTCCCATTCTGTAGGTTGCCTTTTCACTCTGATGGTAGTTTCTTTTGCTGTGCAGAAGCTCTTTAGTTTAATTAGATCCCATTTGTCAATTCTGGCTTTTGTTGCCATTGCCTTTGGTGTTTTAGATATGAAGTCCTTGCCCATGCCTATGTCCTGAATGGTATTGCCTAGGTTTTCTTCTAGGGTTTTGATGGTTTTAGGTCTAACATTTAAATCTTTAATCCATCTTGAATTAATTTTTGTATAAGGCATAAGGAAGGGATCCAGTTTCAGCTTTCTACACATGGCTAGCCAGTTTTCCCAGCACCATGTATTAAATAGGAAATCCTTTCCCCATTTCTTGTTTTTGTCAGGTTTGTCAAAGATCAGATGGTTGTAGATGTGTGGTATTATTTCTGAGGGCTCTGTTCTGTTCCATTGGTCTATATCTCTGTTTCAGTACCAGTGCCATGCTGTTTTGGTTACTGTATCCTTGTAGTATAATTTGAAGTCAGGTAGTGTGATGCCTCCAGCTTTGTTCTTTTGGCTTAGGATTGACTTGGCAATGCGGGCTCTTTTTTGTTTCCATATGAACTTTAAAGTAGTTTTTTCCAATTCTGTGAAGAAAGTCATTGGTAGCTTGATGGGATGACATTGAATCTATAAATTACCTTGGGCAGTATGGCCATTTTCAAGATATTGATTCTTCCTATCCATGAGCATGGAATGTTCTTCCATTTGTTTGTGTCCTCTTTTATTTCGTTGAGCAGTGGTTTGTATTTCTCCTTAAGAGGTCCTTCACATCCCTTGTAAGTTGTATTCCTAGGTATTTTATTCTTTTTGAAGCAATTGTGAATGGGAGTTCACTCATGATTTGGCTCTCTGTTTGTCTGTTGTTGGTGTATAAGAATGCTCGTGATTTTTGCACATTGATTTTGTATCCTGAGACTTTGCTGAAGTTGCTTATCAGCTTAAGGAGATTTTGGGCTGAGACAATGGGGTTTTCTAGATATACAATCATATCATCTGCAAACAGGGACAATTTGACTTCCTCTTTTCCTAATTGAATACCTTTTATTTCTTTCTCCTTCCTGATTGCCCTGGCCAGAACTTCCAACACTATGTTGAATAGGAGTGGTGAGAGAGGGCATCCCTGTCTTGTACCAGTTTTCAAAGGGAATGCTTCCAATTTTTGCCCATTCAGTATGATATTGGCTGTGGGTTTGTCATAAATAGCTCTTATTATTTTGAGATATGTCCCATCAATACCTAATTTATTGAGACTTTTTAGCATGAAGGGCTGTTGAATTTTGTCAAAGGCCTTTTCTGCATCTATTGAGATAACCAAGTGGTTTTTGTCTTTGGTTCTGTTTATATGCTGGATTACGTTTATTGATTTTCGTATGTTGAACCAGCCTTGCATCCAAGGGATGAAGCCCATTTGATCATGGTGGATAAGCTTTTTGATGTGCTGCTGGATTCGGTGTGCCAGTATTTTATTGAGGACTTTTGCATCGCTATTCATCAGGGATATTTGTCTAAAATTCTCTTTTTTTGTTGTGTCTCTGCCAGGCTTTGGTATCAGGATGATGCTAGCCTCATAAAATGAGTTAGGGAGGCTTCCCTTTTTTTATATTGATTGGAATAGTTTCAGAAGGAATGGTACCAGTTCCTCCTTGTACCTCTGGTAGAATTCGGCTGTGAATCCATCTGGTCCTGGACTTTTTTTGGTTGGTAGGCTATTAATTATTGCCTCAATTTCAGAGCCTGTTATTGGTCTATTCAGGGATTCAACTTCTTCCTAGTTTAGTCTTGGGAGGGTGTATGTGTCGATGAATTTATCCATTTCTTCTAGATTTTCTAGTTTATTTGCGTAGAGGTGTTTATAGTATTCTCTGATGGTAGTTTGTATTTCTGTGGGATTGGTGGTGATATCCCCTTTATCATTTTTTATTGCATCTATTTGATTCTTCTCTCTTTTCTTCTTTATTAGTCTTGCTAGCAGTATATCAATTTTGTTGATCTTCTCAAAAAAAAAAAAACAGCTCCTGGATTCATTGATTTTTTTTGAAGAGTTTTTTGTGTCTCTATCTCCTTCAGTTCTGCTCTGATCTTAGTTATTTCTTGCCTTCTGCTAGCTTTTGAATGTGTTTGCTCTTGCTTTTCTAGTTCTTTTAATTGTGATGTTAGGGTGTCAGTTTTAGATCTTTCCTGCTTTCTCTTGTGGGCATTTAGTGCTATAAATTTCCCTCTAAACACTGCTTTAAATGTGTCTCAGAGATTCTGGTATGTTGTGTCTTTGTTCTCATTGGTTTCAAAGAACATCTTTATTTCTGCCTTCCTTTCATTATGTACCCAGTAGTCATTCAGGAGCAGGTTGTTCAGTTTCCAGGTAGTTGAGAGGTTTTGAGTGAGTTTCTTTATCCTGAGTTCTAGTTTGATTGCACTATGGTCTGAGAGACAGTTTGTTACAATTTCTGTTCTTCTACATTTGCTGAGGAGTGCTTTACTTCCAACTATGTGGTCAATTTTGGAATAAGTGCGATGTGGTGCTGAGAAGAATGTATATCCTGTTGATTTGGGGTGGAGAGTTCGGTAGATGTCTATTAGGTCCGCTTGGTGCAGAGCTGAGTTCAATTCCTGTATATCCTTGTTAACTTTCTGTCTCGTTGATCTGTCTAATGTTGACAGTGGGGTGTTAAAGTCTCCCATTATTATTGTATGGGAGTCTAAGTCTTTTTGTAAGTCTCTAAGGACTTGCTTTATGAATCTGGGTGCTCCTGTATTGGGTGCATATATATTTAGGATAGTTAGCTCCTCTTGTTGAATTGATCCCTTTTCCATTATATAATGGTCTTCTTTTTCTCTTTTGATCTTTGTTGGTTTAAAGTCTGTTTTATCAGAGACTAGGATTGCAACCCCTGCCTTTTCTTGTTTTCCAGTTGCTTGGTAGATCTTCCTCCATCCCTTTATTTTGAGCCTATGTGTGTCTCTGCACATGAGATGGGTTTCCTGAATACAGCACACTGATGGGTCTTGACTCTTTATCCAATTTGCCAGTCTGTGTCTTTTAATTGGAGCATTTAGCCCATTTACATTTAAGGTTAATATTGTTATGTGTAAATTTGATCCTGTCATTATGATGTTAGCTGGTTATTTTGCTCGTTAGCTGATGCAGTTTTTTCCTAGCCTCGATGGTCTTTACAATGTGGCATATTTTTGCAGTGGCTGGTACTGGTTGTTCCTTTCCATGTTTAGTGCTTCCTTCAGGAGCTCTTGTAGGGCAGGCCTGGTGGTGACAAAATCTCTCAGCATTTGCTTGTCTGTAAAGGATTTTATTTCTTCTTCACTTATGAAGCTTAGTTTGGCTGGATATGAAATTCTGGGTCAAAAATTCTTTTCTTCAAGAATGTTAAATATTGGTCCCCACTCTCTTCTGGCTTGTAGAGTTTCTGCCAAGAGATCTACTATTAGTCTGATGGGCTTCCCTTTGTGGGTAACCCGACCTTTCTCTCTGGCTGCCCTTAACATTTTTTCCTTCATTTCCACTATGGAGAATCTGATAATTATGTGTCTTGGAGTTGCTCTTCTTGAGGAGTATCTCTGTGGCGTTCTCTGTATTTCCTGAATTTGAATGTTGGCCTGCCTTGCTAGTTTGGGGAAGTTCTCCTGGATAATATCCTGCAGAGTGTCTTCCAACTTGGTTCCATTCTCCCCGTCACTTTCAGGTACACCAATCAGATGTAGATTTGGTCTTTTCACATAGTCCCATATTTCTTGGAGGCTTTGTTCATTTCTTTTTACTCTTTTTTCTCTAAACTTCTCTTCTCGCTTCATTTCATTCATTTGATCTTCAATCACTGATATCCTTTCTTCCAGTTGATCAAATCGGATACTGAAGCTTGTGCATTCGTCATGTAGTTCTCATGCCATGGTTTTCAGCTCCATGAGGTCATTTAAGGACTTCTCTACACTGGTGATTCTAGTTAGCCATTCGTCTAATCTTTTTTCAAGGTTTTTACCTTCTTTGCAATATGTTTGAACTTCCTCCTTTAGCTTGGAGAAGTTTGCTCATCTGAAGCCTTCTCTCAACTCATCAAAGTCAAACTCTGTCCAGCTTTGTTCCATTGCTGGTGAGGAGCTGCATTCCTTTGGAGGCAGAGAGGTGCTCTGATTTTTAGAATTTTCAGCTTTTCTGCTCTGTTTTTTCCCCATCTTTGTGGTTTTATCTACCTTTGGTCTTTGATGATGGTGACATACAGATGGGGTTTTGGTGTGGATGTTCTTTCTGTTTGTTAGTTTTCCTTCTAACATTCAGGACCCTCAGCTGCAGGTCTGTTGGAGTTTGCTGGAGGTCCACTCCAGACCCTATTTGCCTGGGTATCAGCAGCGGAGGCTGCAGAACAGCAAATATTGCTGCCTGATCGTTCCTCTGTAAGCTTTGTCTCAGAGGGGTTCCCAGCCATGTGAGGTGTCAGTCTGCCCCTACTTGGGGGGAGTGTCTCCCAGTTAGGCTAATTGGGGGTCAGGGACCCACTTGAGGATGCACTCTGTCCGTTCTCAGATCTCAAACTCCATGCTGGGGGAACCACTACTCTCTTCAAAGCTGTCAGACACGGACATTTAAGTCTGCAGAGGTTTCTGCTGCCTTTTATTTGGCTATGCCCTGTCCCCAGAGGTGGAGTCCACAGAGGCAGGCAGGCCTCCTTGAGCTGCGGTGGGCTCCACCCAGTTCAAGCTTCCCAGCCACTTTGTTTACCTACTCACTCCTCAGCAATGGTGGGCACCCCTCCCCCAGCCTCGCTGCCACCTTGCAGTTCCATCTCAGTCTGCTGTGCCTGTGGGAGTGGGACCTTCTGAGCCAGGCACAGGATATAATCTCCTGGTGTGCCGTTTGCTAAGACCATTGGAAAAGCACAGTATTTGGGTGGGAGTGACCTGATTTTCCAGGAGCCGTCTGTCACAGCTTCCCTTGGCTAGGAAAGGGAATTCCCTGACCCCTTGCACTTCCTGGGTGAGGCGATGCCTCACCCTGCTTTGGCTCATGCTCGATGGGCTGCACCCTCTGTCCTGCACCCACTGTCTGATAAGCCCCAGTGAGATGAACCTAGTACCTCAGTTGGAAATGCAGAAATCACCCATCTTCTGCGTTGCTCATGACGGGAGCTGTAGACTGGAGCCGTTCCTATTCGGCCATCTTGGAACCGTCCCCCCAAGAAATTCTCTTTCCTAAGATTAGTGGGATATTTTAGACTCTGGGTTTCCTCCTTTGCTCTACTTGCCAAACCGTTATGCCAAGCCACTAAAGGCCCTCACCATGAGCCTTCAAACCCTGCACAGCCTATTACCCAACCTTTCTGTCTACTCCAGAAGGCTCTCACCTCAATCCCTGTCCGCACTCTTCCAGACCTCACCAAACCTTTTTCCCTCTACGCTGATGGATGGCGTGGAGTTGCACTGAGTGTTCTAACCCAATCTAAGGGACCCACCCTCCAGGTTATTGCCTACCTCTCTAAACAGCTTAAAGCCACAGTTCTCAGATGGCCTGTGTGCCTCTGAGCATTGGCGGCAGCTGCTGTCCTCACCCATGAAAGCCTAAAACAATCTCTCCATGACAACCTAATAGTTCATTCAACTGTTAACACCAAAGACATGCTAGCTCACAGCAGTGTACTAAGACTCATCTCTGCCCCATGGCTCCCCCAACTGTATACTCTATTCATAGAAGCTCCCCACATCACCATGCTAACCAGCTCCTGTCTAAACCCAGCCATGCTCTTACCTGAAGCTACAACCACCCAAGACCCTACACACTTCTATGTAAACACTGTTCAAACCTTTCTTATACCTTTTCCAAACCTGACAGACCAACCCCTTCCAGATGCCTCCTTTACTTGGATTGTAGATGGCAGCTCCTTCCTACATCAAGGATGAGGGCATGCTGGCTATGCTATAATGTCACCCCCCCCCCACATTATTGCAGCCAATCTGCTCCCCCTAGGCACCACCTCCCAAAAAGCTGAACTCATCACCCTCACTTAAGCTCTCACTCAAGCAGCCAGACAACAGATCAACATATATTCAAATTCTCATTATGTTCCACCTAGTGCACTCACACTTGTCCATCTGGAAAGAACGGGGTTTCCTAACTGCAAAGAACCCTCCTGTCATAAATGGCTCTCTCATCAGCAAACTCCTTCAAGCTGCCAGGCTCCCACAGAAAGCTGCCATCATTCATTGCAGGGGCCACCAAACCCCAGACAATCCTATGTCAGCTGGAAATGTGCTAGTAGATCATGTAGCCAGAAAAGTAGCCCTACAACCTGTGCAAGGCCAGTTTCTGTCCCTGTCCGCCTTCTCTCCTCTTTACTCCTCAGAAGAAAAGGTGGACTTCTGAGCCCAAAACCTTCAAAAGCAAGGACCATGGTATGTCAAGGAAGGGCGCCTCATTATTCCTCACTCTCAAAGCCTTCCTCACCTCCAAAGCCTCTACAACTCTTTCCATGTCGGTTACAAACCTCTCCTGCAACTTCTCTGCCCTATCCTCACTTGTCCTCATCTTTCCAGCTGTGTTCAAGGGATTACTCAGTCCTGCTCTCTGCTACTTAGTGTCATCCCAGGGCTCCCTCTGGCTGCTGCCTTTTCCTACCCACCAAGCCCGGGGCCAGGTACCCCTGCAAGATTGGCAAGTAGACTTCACTCACATGCCACCTGATAAACGGCTCCGCTGTCTTCTAGTCTTGGTCTGTACTTTCTCCGGGTAGGTAGAAGCGTTCCCAAGAACTTCAGAAGGTGCAAATGTCATCACACAAACTCTCATCGTGCATATAATTCCCTGTTTCAGACTCCCAACATCCATCCAGTCCAATAATGGGCCTGTCTTCATCAGCCAAATTACCCAAGATGTCTCTACATCCTCAGGTATAAAATGGGTTCTCCACACACCCTACAAGCCTCAATCTTCAGGCAAAGTTAAAAAAATTAACTCTGTCCTTAAAGCCCAACTCACCAAGGTGGCTTTAAAAATCTGCCAGTTGTGGACAAAAAAATCTCCCTTTTGCCCTCATGAGACTCCGCACAACACCAAAAGCACCCTCTTTTTATAGTCCCTTTAAAATCATGTACGACTGAACTTTTGTCTTAGGACCTCCATCTTTACCAGACTCTAAACCACTCAAGAATTACCGCCCCTCCTTAATCCAGACATGGTCTTTCATTCGTGAAGCAGCAGATAAGGCCATGCCTCTCCCTGTTAACACCTCCTTGTCCTCTCAACATAACTGCCTTGCAGGCACAGACGTGTTTATCTGCCAACCCAACCCTCACCCAAAAGCTACAACCAATGTGGACAGGCCCCTCCACTGTGATATTCAGCATGCCAACTGCAGTGAAAATCCAAGGACTCCCCCACTGGGTCCATCACACCAGGGTCAAGCTCACCCCCAAGACTACTCCTTCCTCCAAAACACTAACAGTGGGCAACACCCTCAGAGTCCCTGTATGTAATAACCTAAACAAAGAAAAACCATCCTTAAAGCTAAGAGGAAGCCAAAGATGGCAAGGGGATGAATGGCCTCCGCAATGGATCATCGAATATTACGGTCCTGCCACTTGGGCTGAGGATGGTTTATGGGGTTATCGCACGCCTATATATGCTAAATAGAATAATTAGACTACAGGCAGTTCTAGGGATAATCACTAACCAAATCGCCTCAGCCCTGGAAATGCTCTTGCAACAACAAAACCAAATGCGCTCAGCAATTTATCAAAACAGGCTAGCACTAGACTACTTATTAGCAGAAGGGGGTGGAGTCTGTGGTAAACTTAATATCTCTAATTGCTGTCTTAACATAGACAATAACGGAAAAGCAGTTCTAAAAATTGCTTCAAACATCAGAAAAGTAGCCCATGTACAGTCCAAACCTAAAAGGGATGGGACCCAACAAACCTTCTAGGAGGATGGCTCTCTAATTTAGGAGGATTTAAAACCCTGGTAGGGACAGTAATCTTCATCACTGGGGTTCTCCTGTTTCTCCCCTGTGTTATCCCACTGATAATAAAAGCCATTAAAACTCTTGTTAAAACTACAGTTAACCACCAGACAATCCAAACGATGCTCCTGCTACAATGACATGATGGATACCAACCCGTCTCTCAAGAATACACCAAAAATTAAGTTTTTCTTTTTCCAAGGTGCCCAGATCACCTCTATGTCACGCCTGAAGTAGTTATTGAGAAAGTTCTCCCTTTTCCCTTTTCTATAACCAAATAGACAGGAATGTAAGATTCTCCCAGGGGCCTGAAAGCTTAAAGAGATGAATAACTCCTCCCTTCTCAGGCCCAGTCCCAGGGTGCAAGGCCACTTGTGTCAGCAGCGTGCACCAGCAAGATAGTAGAAGCAGGAAGACAGCCGGCCAGGAAACACGTACCCCTGAAGATCAAGAAAAAGGCCATTTGGGTACAACATAGCAGTTAGGTCAGACTAGGACACTTCCTGTTTACAGGAGACTATAAAACCTTTGTCTTGTCCTCACTGGGGGCTGATGCCATTTTAGGCCTCAGCCCACCTGCACCCAGGCACTCATTAAAACAGCACGTTGCTCCATAGCACCTCCTGTTGTCTGTTGGCGCGCTCTCGGGGTTCGAACTGGTACAAGAACCTCACACTCACTTCTTTGCAGACAGCCCTTTCTCTTCTGTGCTACCCATTGCACCCTTGCAACAGATCTTTGTAGTTTCTCGAATAAATCTGCCTTTCTTTACCTACAACTGTTCTGGTAAATTCCCTTACTGCCTGCGAAGTAAGTCACACCATGACACTTAATTTCCTTTTCCATGAATCTCTGGGTACTGAGATGAAACCGGTCATAGAAACTTTAACAAAACATCAGTTATAATTCAGATGAAGAGCCCCAACTTATGCCTCATCTAATCCATTGTCTTGATCTCCATGAACTAGACAGGGTTGTCTCATTCCCGTTTGCCCCATGAAGCCAGCAAATGCGGGGACCAGAGCTCGCCCAGAAAATTGGGTGGAAGAGGAAAGCTGTGGATATTTAGTAAGTGCTTGAGGCTGAGGGATACTCCTAAGATGCCTGGAATCACAGTTTGCAAGATGACTTGATACATTTTAGAGAAGCAGGTAGGGGAGTGGGTCCAATCATCCCAAAAGGGAGAGGACTCCAGGAGGAAGAGAGGAAGGGAAAGAGTCTCAAGTCATGCAGGGGACTGTGTCTGGACAGGTTGGCACATCTTCTGAACACTTTGGTAATGAACAATTCCACTCCTCATTGTGGGAGGGGCGGGTAGAGTAGTATCTGGAACAGAGAGGGGATAAGCAGGTTCCACAGGCTTTTGGCAAGCTTCAAAGGGCCACGTGTTGGGCAGTGAGGAGGAGCTCCCTGCAGGCAACCATCATCAGAAAAACAGTGAAGTCAATCTAGCAACTCCCCTCCCCAAAGAGAGAACTAGTTAGGGCATCAAATCATTTGGAAGGCCTGTTAAAGCACAGATTACTGCCTCTCACCCCCTAGAGTGTCTGATTTATAAGTCTGGACAGGGCCAGGGACTTTGCATTTCTAACCAGCTCCTAGTGAAGTCCATGCTGCTGGTTTGAGACAGCTGAGATGGAGATGCCCCTGTGGGATAGTAACAAGGGGTCAGCCATTAGGAATGCACTTTGGACAAAGCTGCTCTTGGCCATTCTTGCTTCTGTGTCCTTGCCCAGAAGGGAGACTCTCTGCCACCAGCCAGGCCTCCTACTCCTTATTCCAAGGCTGTTGTGACCTCTCTAACCCCAGGTGTCTCCAGGTCATTTTGTGCATCTGGAGTCTTAACTGCAAAAAAATCTGCTTTCTTTCAAGGGAAATCCTTCCATTCCCTAAGAAGCAGAAGAGGAATCCCATCAGCAGGACTCAGCGTCATAGCTCCACAAAGTCCTTGTCCCTCCTGAGAGCCACTGCATCACTGCCTGTTGCTGGCTTAGGGGAGTTCCCCTGACAATGCTGTCTTCTCTGTGGGTTTCAGTGGTTCAGGAACTAGTACCTCTTTCCAAGAGGAATTTTTGTTTGAACATAGTGAATGTCACTAAACCCCCAAGTCCATTTCATAGGCCTGCCTCAGAAGTTCAGAGGGATTATGCAAATGAGGCCCCAAGGCTTGCCTCCAGCACATGGGGGTTCCCCCAGGCAAGTATGCAAACGAGGCCCATATAGTGACCCCCAGCTCACAAAAATGAAGTTTCAAGTTACTTGCTTTATTCTGCATTGCTTTTCTCTGCCTCCTTTCTTACCTCAGTCTCCTCACCTGGGAAAGATGCATGTTTGGTTTATACACTATAATAATGCTCACTGAGGCAGCTTGCTAGTTAAGAATTATGTTGCATTAAGGTTTCCTACACTGTATTGTACTCAAAAAAACATATGTCAGTGGGGTTTGAGAGCAGACAGGAGGGCTGAAGGAGATAGCCTCAAATGGGAAAGGCAGAATGGTAAATCTGCACCTCCACTCCTCATAGAATTCCTAATTTGTAGTTCAGTATACTCTACCTTTCAGATTTAATTTAATGCAGACAACCTGAAATGAAGATAAAGAGAGAAACAACTGAAGGGAGTATCCTTTACCTTTTCCAATGTGGAATTGATGACTTATACCAGTGTCCCATAAGCCTCCAAATGTTTAGCAATAGGAGGGAAGGAGGTGGGTGGTGTCAGGCTGATTTACATATTGTCTATTGTTCAAGTGCTACATGAGGAGGAGCAGGCGTTTGCTTTCGGTGGTATTCTTGGTCCTTTCTACATACAGGGAAATACAGTGATACATATAAAGGGTATACATCTATTCATAGGGCACTCTTTAAGGTAATTTGCATACAAATCCCATGCAATCTTTACAATATCAGCAAGGGAGGTACTATTAGCTCTATTTTCCAGCAGAAAAAGCCGAGGTTTAGAGAGGTTGGGGAACAGGTGTAAGCTGCAGAACTGGAACTTGAGGTCTCATAGTCTTCAGGCCCTTTGCTGCTGCCCCTGTGCTAAGTGCAAATATGTTTCCAGGTCCCTTAATCTCTTTTCATCCTCCTAGCTGACTCTAGGTTCTTTGCTGCCCTGGCCTCTCCCAGAATTCCCCAAATCCTCTTTTCCCACTCACTGCCTAGTTCTTTTCCTCTCTTGGGGTTACTCTTATAAATTGGAAATTTAGGCTGCTTGTACCTGCTGTGTAAGGGATGACTCATATTACAGGGGATGTGTATTAGCATAAAAATGATCTGTGGAATAAGGTTTTAAGAGTCGATAGGAAAGGAATTCACATCACAGAAGCATCGTGAGCCAAGAAACTTGTCCTCCTCCAAGAGAAGAGAGAGGATTAAAAGTTGAAACTAATGCAGAAAAATTTCTTGGCAAATGTGGAGAAAGAAGTAGGGAGAGTTCATACCAAAGTTTCCTTATGACTCAAATCAGCCCCTTGAAAACTTGGGGGTAGTAGTGGCTTCTACTTGGGTAATCAGAGGTGCTGTTTCTGGTGGCATCTCCTTTTAGGCCTCATTTTATTTGAATATCTGTCTTTAGCCTTCACTAACGTTTTGAGCAAGCCAAGCTTTTGAGGGCTCTTTGCCATACTTCCTGGAAGGGAGGCCCTGGCTGAGATTTCAGAATTCTGCTATTTACTGAACTGAGTATTAACACCCACTGAAGGGAGAGGTCCATTCAGTTTCCTAAGGGAATCTATAAAGAGACTTAGAAAATTTTTCTTTAAAAAGATCACGATGATGTATAAGCTAACCAGACACTAGGAAAAGAGGCAGTATATCCAGGGGATTAATTACTTGTCTAAGAACCAACTTAAAAAAAAAAATCAATCTTCTTGCCAGGTGCGATGGCTCATGCCTGTAATCCCAGCATTTTGGGAGGCCAAGGTGGGTGGATGGCATGAGCCCAGCAGTTTGAGATCAGCCTGAGCAGCATGGCAAAACCCCATCTCTACTAAAAAATACAAAAATTAGCTGGGCATGGTGGTGCATGCCTGTAGTCCTAGCTACTTGGGGGATTGAGGCAGGAGGACCATCTAAGCCCAGGAGGTTGAGGCTGCAGTGAGCTGTGATCATGCCATTCCCATATGGGCAACAGAGCAAGATCTTGTCTCAAAAAAAAATTAATTGTTTTGAATTAAAAAAATTCTAAAATGCATTGAACTCTCCAGTTTCTCTTGGAAGGAGGGAACTAAACATAAATGGATCTTTTCTTGGTCTAGCTGTGGGCCCAAATTTTCCTATATTCATTATTCATTAACAATCAGACTGAGCTGTGATAGGAGGAGTCTCAGGGGTATTAATGTTTCAGGGCTACTCATGTAATCACCCAACAGATATTCCTTGCCTGTTGCCTAAACTGAGCCAATTTATCAAGACAGGGGAATTGCAATAGAGAAAGAGTTTAATTCATGCAGAACCAGCTGTATGGGAGACTAGAGTTTTATTATTACTCAAATTGGTCTCCCCACAAACTCAGGGATTGGGATTTTTAAGGATAATTTGTTGGGTAGGGCAGTCAGAAAGTGGGGAGTGCTGATTGGTCAGGTTGGAGATAAAATCACAGGGAGTCGAAGCTGTCCTCTTGCAGTGAGTCAGTTCCTGGGTGGGAGCCATAAAACTACATGAGCCAGTTTATTGATCTGGGTGATGCCAGCTGATCCATCAAGTTCAGGATCTGCAAAATATCCGAAGCACTGATCTTAGGTTTTACAATAGTGATATTATCCTGAGGAGCAGTTCGGGAGGTTCAGAATCTGGCAGCCTCCAGCTGCATGACTCTTGAACCATAATTTCTAATCTTGTAGCTAATTTGTTAGTCTTGCAGATGCAGTCTAGTCCCCGGGCAGAAAGGGGGTTTGTTTTGGGAAAGGGCAGTTATCATCTTTATTTCAAAGTTAAACTATAAACTAGGTTCCTCCCAAAGTTGGTTTGTCCTATGCCCAGGAATGAACAAAGACAGCTTGGAGGTTAGAAGCAAGATGTAGTCGGTTAGGTCAGATCTCTGTCACTGTAATAATTGTCTCAGTTATAATTTTTGCTAAGGTGGTTTCACTCAGTCTTCCATTAAATGGCACAAGGCTATGAAGTATTAGTTGGCTATTGTGTCAGCTATTTAAATTTTTTGGCTCTTTCTGTTGATATGCTCTATATAGTGTGTAATATATATGTACATAGATAAATCAATAGTAATACATGTTGCTATGAACTTTAATGACAGATTATTATTATACTAAGTATTATCTTTCTCAAAATTGGTCATGAGCTTTATTATCTCTCCTGTCTTTTAGCAGATACAACCATAGATACAACCGGAAAGATTGTTTATAGACTATGATTGGTGACTGCATAACTTTTAATTCCTCTTCTTTTGGTACCAAAAAGTGGAGGTCACCATTTTCTTCAAATAACACTATGGCTCCATGCCAGTAATTGATTTTGTAATCAGTACTTCTAGTATCACTTTAAATGAATGTTCCTACATAGAGATTTAATTGGAATTTAATAAGAGTGCATAATAAGTAAAAGCATATTTACTGAGGATTAACCGCCAAGGAGATATAAATCTATTATGTATAAACCCTGATAAATATTTTTAGAATATTAAATTATATGTAAACATTGTGTATCACTGTAAGTAAATCCAGATCTTTAGCTATATTTGCTATTCTCTTTTCTAAGTAAACATAGCTGTTTATTATAACTAAACTCCATCTTAATCTTATTAACTGATTCAGTACAGTTTAGGGTTGGGAAGGAAAAATCCTCACCCTTAATGTAAAGCAGACTTTCTCAGTCAGTAAGCCTAGGATGGGACCTGAGAATCCACATTTCTAACTAGTTTCTGGGTGATGTGGCTGGTCTGGGAACCATACTTGGAGAAGCACTGAAGTCAAGCTTTATCTTGTTTTAAGATTAAAGATAGATTTTTCACTTTCTCTGCTCTAACTTAATGTCTGGTCTTAGCTAAAATCTTCACTCATAGGTTGAATACGGCCACACATTTTTTGGTCACTGTCCCCATTGAGAGGCATGGGTTATTTCTCCTACCCTTCAATCTAGACTAGTTCTGTGATTGCTTAATCAATACAATGCAGAGGAAGTGATGCTTTAGCAGGACCAGCAACTTCTGCCTCCTCCCTCTTGGGCCCAGCTGCCAAACTGTGGGTAAGCCCAAGCAGAAAGGTCCACATGGAGGAGAACTGAGGCCACTGGCCAATAGCCTCATTGAGCTCCTGGGCAACGAGGACCAACTTGCCAGCCATGTGAGTGAGCTGCCCTGGAAGCTGAGCTGTACCAGTTTATACAACACAGAGCAGAGACAAGCCATCCCTGCTGAGCCCTGCCCAAAATTGCAACCAGAATAAATAACATTACTGTTGCTTTATACTGTTTTGGGATGGTTTATTTTACCAAGATAACAAAAATTTACCTGTCTCTAAGCTTTCCAAGATAAGTCAAGCATAGATTTTGAATTCTCAGAGTTTGTGTTATAACATCAAAAGAAAAATGTTAACAAGTGACATTTTATGAATGGGCAGAGGTTTATTTCAGAATTTGGCTTTTCAATGGCTTTATTCCCCACAGGCAGAATTTGACTTTATGTGGGGCAAAATAAGTAACTGTCAACAAAGGCATCATTTCAGGGTGTTGGGAAAGTCTTCTTCATTCCTTAACATATGATCTCATAGGGTCACTGATGCCCCTATTTCAATAATTATAACTTAATTCTTTTGCTTTGCATAAATGAGACTTTGTTAGTAAAATGCAAAGAACAATAATGATTTAAAACCTTAATGTTTAGTAGCCATTTACCACTTACTGTCATGCCACACTTGTTCTTCCCTAAGAGTAGTCACATCTGGTTTCTTCACAGTGGGCAGGTGTGACCTCTCATAACCACAATCAGGAACCTTATGTGTATTGTGCAGGAATTCCGCTCTTTTAAGTATAGACCTTGTTAGAAATGCAAATTCTCAGGTCTCACTTCAAACTTATTGAATCAGAAACTCTGGAGGTGAGACCCACCAGCAGCCTGTGTTTTAACAGTTCCTCCCACTGATTCTGATGCATGCTAAAGTTTGAGAACCACTGATGCAGGGTCAACAGCTCTTTTAGTATCAATTTCATTGGAAGAAGCAATGAAGTTGAAAACACATTTACTCATGGAATCAAAGCCATACTTGGAAAATTTATGCTACTGATCAAAAGCTGATACAACTTTTAAAATGCTTGCCCATTAACAGCATACTTAGCAATTATCATTTATGTCAGCATAGAATTTATTTGGTGTTTAAAATTTGATCAAATAGTTTATACTGTATCAGTTTCAATGCGACCTTAGACACCCAATTCATGAAAATAATATATTGTGTGTTTTGTAATATGTTTCAACTGTGTTTTCATTACAATCATCAGAAAGTAAAGCAGTATTCTCTTTTTTTTTTTGAGACAGAGTCTCGCTCTGTTGCCCAGGCTGGAGTGCAGTGGTATGATCTCTGCTCACTGCAACTTCCACCTCCCAGGTTCACGCCATTCTCCTGCCTCAGCCTCCCGAGTAGCTGGGACTACAGGTGCCCGCCACCATGCCCAGCTAATTTTTTCTATTTTTAGTAGAGACAGGGTTTCACTGTGTTAGCCAGGATGGTCTCGATCTCCTGACCGTGTGATCTGCCCACCTTGGCCTCCCAAAGTGCTAGGATTACCGGCGTGAGCCACCACGCCCTGCCAGCAGTATTCTTATAATAAGGGATGTTTAACACAGTTCAACAACTTATTGCCCAGAATACCTATTGTCTGCAAAATAGTCTGCTGTGCAATGCCGGGTTTGAAAGATCTCAGTGAAGTTTAGTTGGAGTAATAAAAACAGAATAAAAATCACTTCAGTCCTAGGTGGACTATCAGTAGTGTCAGAAAAGATGTACAGAATATTTCAGAGATTTTCAAAGTAAAAACTGCAAAAAACTAGTTAGAGAGACAAAGAAGCTTTCTTAAGGTATTCAATGCAACAATAAAAACAAGATTCCCTTACAGTAGTATAGCAATTTATACCTTATAAAACAGCTTTGCCCATGTGCTATCTTATTTCACTCTTGCATTATGTAGGGCAGGGATTCTCAAAGTTTGTTCCCCAGACCAGCAGCATCAGTATCTCCCGGGAGCTTGTTAGAAATGCAGATTCTCAGGTCTCACTTCAGATTTACTGAATCAGAAACTCAGCGGGGTGAGACCCACCAGAAATCTTTGTTTTAGCAGATCCTCCCCTGATTCTGATGCATGCTAAAGTTTGAGAACCGCTGATGTAGGATAAACAATGTATTAATACTTTTGATTTCACATATGATAAAAGGAATTATTTAAGTTGGATCTTATCACGTTTCTAAAACTACACCAGGAAACCAAATTCCAAATTCACATTATTGTAGCTTCAATATGTAATTTTCTTTTGAATTGCATCTTGAAGAATGGGTAGGATTTTCACAGGTAAAGAAGATTGAGTATTAGAGGGCGTGGAGGAGGCTGGAGTTATTTCAACTAGGTGAAAAATTATCTTTGAGATTTCAAAAGATAGATTTGGGGAAACAGGCTTTTAGGCTCTTTTCCCCCATGAAATATGTCCTAGGATGTTTATTTTGCTTGTCTGTATTTCTTGTTGAATATATGCAGAGATAACTCTTGGCAGTGCATTTGGGTTGAAATGTTTGGGCCTTTACAAGCCTTATGCTTCCTTTTCTTGCTATGCTACTTTAAGAATAAATCTTAAGAATCAGAGACTAATCCTATTTATTCCTTTAATTCAAAGGATGACATTTTTCAAATTTGTAAGTGATTTATAATACAGGATCCTAAGCTCATCAAATGCAGGGATTTCATGCCTTTGGTCTTCAACTAGCGGAAATCAGAGATAAATTTGGGCCAGTTCCAACAGATTGAGACAGGGACCTCTAACACTCATTGGTGACAGCCTGCTATTTCTTACTGCATCGAGAGGACTGAGGCTCTTCTGGGACGTTTTGATGATCAATAACTTGGACAAAGATTCTTTAAGGCAGAGCCTTAAAAAAAGAAATTAGTTCCTGGTCATTTTACTGTAACACTGTTGATATGGGATAAATGTGGCCTGATTTAAGTTTCCAGTTGACTACTGCATATTGATTTTGACATTTATCAACCATTTTAATAACTTTTTAAAAATCTTTTAAAATTTTATTTCCTTTTTACATACAGTAAAATGAATTCTTTATGGGGTACTGTTCTATGTGTTTGACAAACACATATAGTTCTACAATTACCTTCATAATCCAGATAAAGGGCAATTCTATCCCCTCGAAATATTCCCTCACATTTGCTCCTTTGTAGTTAACCCTTTGGGCTCTCCCCAGCCCCTGGGAACCAGAGTCTGTTTTCTGTTCCTATAATTTTGCATATTCTAGATGACTTTATAAGTGGAATCATATAGAAAGTAGACTTTTGACTGGCTTATTTTGCTCACATAATGCATTTGAAATGTTTATTTCTCCTTTTTTTGATGAGTAGTATCCCATTGTATGTTTGTACCACAGCTGGTTTATCTTTTTTTTTTTTTTTTTCTGAGGTGGAGTCTCCCTCTGTGGCCCAGGCTGGAGTGCAGTGGCAAGATCTCGGCTCACTGCAAGCTCCACCTCCCGGGTTCACGCCATTCTCCTACCTCAGCCTCCTGAGTAGCTGCGACTACAGGCGCCTGCCACCACGCCCGGCTAATTTTTTGTATTTTTAGTACAGACGGGGTTTCACCGTGTTAGCCAGAATGGTCTCTATCTCCTGACCTCGTGATCCGCCCGTCTCGGCCTCCCAAAGTGCTAGCGTGAGCCACCATGCCCGTCCAGCTGGTTTATCTATTTATGAATTGTTGGACATTTGGTTGCTTCCATTTTTGACAATTATAAATAAAGTTGCTATAAGCATTTGTGTATACTTTTTGTGGGAATATAAATTTTCATGATTCTTAGGTAAATACCTGGGAGTGATGTTACTGGGTCATATGGTAAGTATATGCTTAACTTTATAAAAGACTTTCAATTTCCCAATGTGGCAGGACTATTTTACATTCCCACCAGAAATGGAGGAGAATTTCTGATGCTCCACATTTTTGCCATTATTTGGTGTTATCTGTAAAGCTTTAGAAAGTTTAGCTATTCAAATAAAGGAATGGTGGTGTCTCATTGTGGTTTTAATTTGGATGTCTTTAGTTACTAATGATATTGAGCATTTTTTCGTGTACTTATTTGCCATTTGTATATCTTCTTTGGTGAACAGTCTATTCAAATCCTTTGCACAATTTTAATTGGGCTTTTTTTTGTCATTGGGTTTTGAGGATTCTTTATATATGATACTGTTAAGCTTTGTGTCCCCACAGAAATCTCATCTTGAATTCTCATCCCCAGGTGTTGAGGGAAAGACCTGCTGGGAGGTGACTGGATCATGGGGGTGGTTTCCCCCATGCCATTCTTGTGATAGTGAGGGAGTTTTCATGAGATTTATGATGGTTTTATAAATGGCAGTTTCCCCGGGCTTTTCACTCGCTCTCTCTCTCTCTCCTGCTGCCATGTAGGAAGGTCCAAGCTTGCTTCCCCTTCGGTCATGCTTATAAGTTTTCTGAGGCCTCCCCAGCCATGCAGAACTGTGAGTCAATTAAACCTCTTCCTTTATAAATTACCCAGTCTTGGGCATTTCTTTATAGCACTCTGAAAACAGACTAGTACAATATATTCTCCATAAATCATATTTAGTGATCTGTTTTGTAAATAATTTTAGTAAATGTTTGGAGACTTAACACATTCCCCTCTCCTTTGTTCTGTGATATAATAAAAACCTCACAGTCTTGTCCTAAGTTGCTGAACTGTTACATCACTTGGCCGACATCTGCATCATGACATGATTTCCAATAAGCCAGCTCTCTCCTTGTGATTTCTTTTTCTTTCTTTCTTTTCTTTTCTTCTTTTTCTTTTTTTTTTTTTTGAGATGAAGTTTCACTCTTGTTGCCCAGGCTGGAGTACAATGACGTGATCTTGGCTCACCGCAACCTCTGCCTCTTGGGTTCAAGCAATTCTCCTGCCTCAGCCTCCCAAGTAGCTGGGATTACAGGCATGTGCCACCACGCCCGACTAAGTTTTGTATTTTTAGTACAGACAGGGTTTCTTCATGTTGGTCAGGCTGGTCTCGAACTCCTGACCTCAGGTGATCTGCCCGATTTGGCCTCCCAAAATGCTGGGATTATAGGTGTGAGCTACCACACCCAGTCTGTGATTTCTTAAGAACGTATTGGCATTCAGATTGAAACTAGGTATACAAGGACTCAGAAATGTTATGTAAAGGGGTGGCAGGGGCCTGGGGATATAGAAAGGCTAGAAATAAAGGGATGAGCCACATGCTCTTAGCATATTAAGATGCGATTTGACATCATCCATTTGTGGGATACCTCTCATATGTCATAAATATGTTTGGTACAATTGATAGAATATCTCATTAGGGGTTATGCATAATGGTTAAAAAAAACTGTATTTGAATATATACCAGTGACTCCCAGTAAACCTCTCAATACTGTCACTGCATAGATATTCTTTGGGGCACCAAATTATCTTTTTAAGGTTTTCTTGTCTTATCTTCAGTTACTGATAACAGATTCTTAGACTTTTAATAACCCTATGGCCTAAATCTCATGATCTTTTCTCATTTGTAAAGATACTGATGATGTAGGCTAAAAAGATACTGATGATGTTGTAAGGTGAGCACTGTGTTAAAAGTAAAGGCTTCGTTTTTTATATGACTGTTAACATACCTCTCTCCCTTGGCCATACCTCTACTTGAATAAAGTTCAATCAGATCTGGCCTTTGAAATAATTGCAGTAGGGCTGCAGTGTGTTGCTGTCAGTGACTGCTGTAGGCAACAGACCTCAGTGTTCAAGAGACCTTCTATTTGTTCTTCCCAAGCTATGCCCAGTTGAACTGATGCCTTTAACAACCAAGTCCAGTAGCTATCTCTCAACAACACTGGCACTGAAAAAAGCAGCATGTGTGGTGCCACCTGCTGCTTATGCCTGCCCTATGCCTAGGTATGCTCCCTGGGCAACTGCATGTTCCTCCAGTTTGGTCCTTAATCCTATCTTTGTGTTTATATGACGGCATTCTACTTTTTCTGTGTGCATATGTATGTATTTTTAACCAGAGTCTTACCCTGCACTGAAGCTGGCTGGAGATTGAACATGCTGTCTAGCCATTACCAGTCTCATTTGCCAGGGCTAGTTCTTGCATCTCATGTGTTTCATACCTGGCTTAGATCCTGCTCCCGAATCAGGTAGGCCTGCTGAACCAATAATGCTCCTGCCATTCCATCTCCACTCCTGCAGAGGGATGTTTATTCAGAACATAGGCCACCTCCACCCACCTAATGACTGTCACTCTTGGAAGGCATTGGCTATACATTGGTGTTTGACCAATTTCCTGCTTTTCCATGGACCACAGATGTTGATTTTTCTCTTTAAAGCTTTTCCAAAAGCAAACCACCTACTACTTAAACAAGAGAAGATTTATTACATTTAATCAAAAGGATAAAGTGTTTCTATAGGAATGCTCTACACATCAGCAAAAGTATCATCCCAGCTGCAGCTGAGTCAGCTGTCAACGCCTTCCTGAACATCCCTCCTTCTACCACGGCTGTGCAGTAACTGTGGGTCCAGGTTTTACCCCCCAGCATAAAACCATGAAAGGGCAGTCAGATGTCAGATACCACTGCATTCCTCTGCTGAGATGACCTCCTGCAACACAAGCTGATTTCTTAATGCAAGTCAGTTTTATGGATTTTGCTGCCACTCAAGCTGGCTCTTGGCCATTTATTTGTTGGTCAGTCTGAGCATGGTATCCAAATGTTCCTCAAATTATCAGAAAGCAACGAGGAAGTAGTAAGGTCAGATATTGGTTGTATTTCAGGCCTCAGTTCCAATCTGAGATTACTTGCAGGGATGGAGTTCTCAAACAAGTTAGGCTATTTGTGTACTTCAAGGATTAGGAAGTCTGTACATTTTCTTTAAGAAAAAGAAAATTTTTCACTTAAGAAAAAATCTCTTATTGAGACACATCTTCAATTTCTTCCTATTTGAGAATAAAATTCAGTTTTTCTGCTTTCAGTAGCCACTTGGAACCTCATAGGGTACAATGCATATATCAGCCTAGACATATAGAATCCAAAATATGTGTGTGTGTGTGTGCGTGCACGTGCGCGGATATGCACATATTTGTTATTTGTTGGAAAGGGCCCTTGAAATCTGCTATAAGCCTTATAGACTTAAACCCTACAATTATTACAATCTAGGGAATTCTATTGTTCTATAGTCTTTGTCTGAGTGCTCGTGGATGTGGCTGTTGGCTGAGTTTGAGCCCTGCTTGTTCAGAACCTTCTGAAACACCTGATGGGCACCATTCATTAGCCACTCCTAAAGTAGTGAACTAGAGATGGGCTGGTGTTCCTGGTCCAGCCTCTTCCTGCCCTGCCTTCTTTCTCAGTAAGCCTGTATTGCAAAGGTCAGGGAAGGGAAACACTGTAATCCACTTGATTGATATCCATTTGACTGTCTGCTACAATATTCGTGGGATCATTGGTAACAAAGGTCATTTTGCAACCAGATTTGAGTTTCTATTTCCTCTCCTTCATATCTTCCTCCTCATCCCTTTCTTTTGGGAAAAAAATAACCATTTATATTTGCAACAGCCCAACAAATTCCAAATGCTGGCAAAGATGGCGCTGGCCGTGTTTAGTCTTGTCAACATCTCTTTCCTGAGGCTTCTTTCTCCCTTCTTGATGTTCATTCTCACTTAAAATGAAGTCTATTAAATACCCTGGACAAATTTAGAGATTCACTACTTTATGCACTGGAAGAATAACAGTGAGAGATATGGCCCTGCTCTTTAGTTGCTAAAATGCTAATATCTGAGTATAGTTGAAAAATAGGAATAAAGATAGAGTTTTTAACTTTTCATTCTAAAATGAGATCAAAGCTAGGTAGAACAGTGGAGACTTCGGGTGGCTCCTTACCCTTCATTGTTCTATCGCAGTCTCACCTGAGTCTTCATTTAAACATTTAGTTTCCCTGTCCCTTTCCCTGAAGATTTTGGGATAAAGATCAACAATCTGTCTTTTTCTAAACCAGTGCTCCTACATGATTCTCAGGGTCTTTCAAATTCAAGAGACACTGGCCTAAAGGAGCTAAGTCTGAGTCTTAGCTCCTTTAGTAAAAGGATCTTAGAGATCATCACTTCCCCTCATTTTTCAGATCCATAATCTGGGGTACAGGGAGTGTCTGGGCCCTGCTAAAGTCATCCTACTCACTGATCGAGAAACTGTCTTGAGAACCTGGGTTTCCAAACTCCTGGCAAGGTATAGGGTGCTTTTTCTGCCACACCACCTGAAGATCGCCAAGATGGATGCATATACCTGGCGCCTTCGTGGAGATCAGAGGAGGACCAACAGCAACACATTAATCTGAGAGAACGTGCCTTTCCAGTAATATCCAACCGGTAGCTCATGTGATCACCCGGCACCTCAACAGTGTGCCATCCACCTCAGAGGGCTGGAGAGATGGCACCAACTAATCCTTCATGCCTGTTCCCAGAAAGAGATGGTGCTGGCCATGTTCAGTCTTGTCAAAATCTCTTTCCTGAGGCTTCTTTCTCCTCTCTTTATGTTTGCATCTGGGGAGTTAATCAAATAGATTGTGAATATTGGGAAAATATTGTATTTGATTTTACGTTCTGTATACAGCCAATGATAGGTCCTCAGAATATGGGGAAAATGATACAAAATTAGCTTTTTCTACTCTTTTGACTCAACTGAATTTTACTATGTGCTCTTTAAATCCAATATCTGTAAATTATTGCTGGGATATCTGGTATCTTTAATGAAGTCCATTTATTTTAAGGACATGTATAAAAATAAGGGAAAAAATCATTTACTGAGAGTATAAAAATCTGTTTAGGTGTTTTGAATATATTATATGTATTATATACTTGGTAGAATTATAAAGTAATAGGACTTTTTTTTTAAATGAACCCAAGTTTTCATCCCCTTCAAAGAAGTATTCCTGGAAATTAACCTGTGAGTCATATTAAAAAACCAAAAGAAAAACCTGCTTCATTTTTTATCCCAAACTCTATAATCTTAAATGATCATTCATACCACTACTCAAATTCCAGGTGACTTTTGAAAGGGGTTCCAAGAATCAAATTTGCCTGTGAACATACAGGTTTAAAATATTTAAATGCATGTGTTTCAGTTGTTGGGGAAATATAATTCTGCCAACACAAGACCCTTCTGAAACATAGAGAAGAGGGAGAAACCATTTATTACCTGGTGAGCATTATCAGATTTACACACACATCCAGCAGCATGGAAGTGACTATAAAGTCTGGACAGAATCGCACATAAATTTATACAGTAAAGTAGAAAAAAAGACAATTAAAATGTCTCATCTGTTTGACAGACAAATGAATATGCACCTTGTGATTGTCCCTATATGCCTCCCGTGTTAATTTTGGAGGCATGTATTTATAGTTCCAAGGGTCAGAAGGCTTGTGACCTGCTTTGTAAAATCAAAAGTTCTGTGGCCTCTTAGTTTTCAGAGACACTCTAAAGAGGAGAGCGCGAGAAGACATCCACATCCCTTATTAAAGAACGTTTTGTCACTTTACACTTACATGTGCCTTGAAGCCAATTCCCTAAGAAATGTTCCAGCAGTGATCTGAGACACATCTGTATGATTGGAAGCAGGATGTTACCTGCTAGGGTGACTATTTGGAACAAAACCCACTAATTTAGTTATCAAAGTCTCAGTATGTTTACTTAAAAAGTCAGTTCCAGTCCCAGTTTGTATGTGGGCAGAATTGCTAAATGTGAACGTTCATTTAAAAAGTCATTTTGCTGAGTCACTCATTCAGTGAAAACCCAAGGGAGTTAATTACACAGTGGGAGTAGAGGCCGTGAGGGCAGATGACTCGATTTGCTCACAGAAAGGAGATGGAAGTGAGGGCCCAGCTTGAGGAGCTGCCTGGGTAGTATTTTCTGAAAGACTAGCGGGAGTCCAGACACTTCCCAACTTGAAGGAAGTGCTACTCTTTTGTTTTAATGCTGTGACTTTGACTAACAGCTAAGCGGAAGCTGTGAGGTAAAGTGCCAAAGCTACAGGAAACAGGTAGAGGATTTGCCAACAAATAGAAATAATTAACATTTTCTTCTAAACAAGTAGTGATATGGGAGGCAACCTCATTGATGTTATGCTGGTTTGTTTTCCACTTTCTTTGATATACTCAGCTTTTTATTTTATTTTTTATCTTTTGAGACGGAGTCTTGCTCTGTCTCCCTAGGCTGAAGTGCAGTGGTGTAATCTCGTCTCACCGCAACCTCTGCCTCCCAGATTCAAGCAATTCTTCTGCCTCGGCCTCCTGAGTAGCTGGGACTAACAGGCGCCCACCACCATGCCCAACTAATTTTTGTATTTTTAGTAGAGACGGGGTTTCACCATATTGACCAGGCTGGTCTCGAACTCCTGACCTCAAGTGATCCACCAGCCCCGCCCTCCCAAAGTGCTGGGATTACAGGCATGAGCCACCACGCCCAGCCTACTCAGCTTTTTAGAGCAGCTCTATCCCATAAAATTTTCTGCGATGATGCAGATGTTCTGTATCTGTAGCTGTCTATATGTAGCCAGTGGTCACGTGTGACGATTGAGCACTTGAAATGTGGATCATGTGACTGAGAAACTCAAGATTTAATTGTGTTTAATTTTAATTAATATAAATGTAAATAGTTACAAGGGCCCAGCAGCTACCGTATTGGACAATACTTTGGAAAGAACCAAGTACTTCTATAGTTCCTGGAAAGTACTTATACTTTTTTTTATAAATTTTGCTCATTTATTTTTTTCTTCCACAGCCATATTGTTAACTGAAAACACATAAAGTACGAGTGTTACATTTTTTTTCTTTCTTGTTCCAAGTAACTTTTCCCTGTGTCTGCAGCGTTACAGGCCACTAAGGTCAATCTCATCCTCTAGGACAGGACTCAGTGGGAAGCGTGATTGCCTGGTAGTACTAGGCTTTTTCAGACTTGTTGGCACCCACCCTGATCAAGAGCTAGTAGAGCTGACATGTCTTAGCAACTTGGCAGACAGAGAAATCACCACTCACTTGGCTTTGGTCATTTCCCTTGTGTTCTCTATTTCTTTTCTGAGAAGACTCTGGGGAAGTGAGAAATTGCACTGCTCATGCTGTGGGCTCTGGCACAGAATTCTGGCTGTTGGGGCAGCAGATGTGCTGCGGGAGGTATCTTTCAAGGAACTGCATATGGGCCAATGTTGGAGGAGGAGGTATCTTTTTAGATAGGATTCTTTCCCTGCCACACAAATGCTGGCTCTTATCTCTATAATTCCCCTGTGAGATTTAATATCTCTTTCAACACACGACCATGTGTGTTGAATAAAGGTTGAATAAAGGCACAAAGCATAATTGCTTTCATTTCAAATCCTGCTGGCTTTATGTATATTCCTTAAACAAACTAGAAGGACACTCAGGGATGCTGTGACATTATTTCTTCATTTCACTAACACCTGTGCCGGAGACCCAGGGAGGGGAAGTGTCTTTTTGGGGGTCAGGGTTGCATGGCTGGTTCCTATAGAGACTGGATTTAGTCGATAAATTCTTGAAATTGGTTGAATTTGATTATATCGTCTCAATCATTAAAATATGATATATTTGATTTAGGGGTAGTATATTAATAATATTTATCCTAGTCTCCCCAAGAAATTGGGAAAGACCTTTGCTTTAATTTTTTTCAGGGCACCAATCCTGTAGTGAGCTCCTGCATGTACAAGCAATATGCTAGGGCTGTAACCTCTGCCTGGTGTCATTACCTTCATTAACATCAGAGTCTTGATAATAAAAACCCCAGGGCTAGGACTTCTGGCCCAATGTTGGGAAATAAATTCAGCAGCTATGACTTTAGTGACCCAGAGAGTCCACCCAGTCAAAGGTGACTGGTTATATTCAATGAAATTCCTGAACCAAAGGGAAAGCCTCTGTCCCACTGGAAACAGGCCCCCTCTCATGACTGTTCTCATTAGAACTGAATTGAGTTTCTCAGAGAATCCCACAGCCCTCTGCTAAAGAGAGACATGAGCCGTGGGAGCTACTTTTTTGGGTACTGATCCATCTGAATGCTGCCTCTGATCTCAGCAGAGCAGCTTGCTACCTACTACTTCTGTGAGTTTACTAGCCATCTTAGCCTGTGTTCTATTTGTGGTTTTATGGTTTAATCACCTAAGTCTATTCCATCTGAGTTCCTACTTCCTCTTTGCTTTTCCTGCCTTGCTTTTGGTAGTGTGCTTTGGTTCAACCCTCAGCCTACACCTGTGTTCCAGATGAGTCCATCTTACATCCTGACTCAAAAGAGGGGAACCTTATTTTGAAGCCTTTCTCTGGCTTCCTGCTTGCCCTTCTGTGTCCTGCCTGGAGCCTGTCTCTGCCACAGAAAGCAAATTCTGATTTGTTGTCTTCAGTCTGGTCCTCATAAATATTTTTCTAAAGCTTTTCTAGATAAAAAAGAAAGATGACTACCTCATAATTCTGACCCTCTATTTTCTCTGTCCCAGCTGCTGGTCTGGAAGAGAGAAGGCTGGATGCAGGAACACTTTGGCACAGGCTCCTAGGATCCTGGGATCAGGACATAATAAATTTACTTTGAATAAATGGTAATGAGGGTTCTTATTTGCATATGTTCTCATATATTTTTCTCCAAGCACTTTCATATTCATTGTTCTATTTGCTCTTCTTGATCTGGAGTAAAGAAATTACTAGATTACAAATCAAAGTAGGAGCTGAAACAGAAACAATCCAGGTCTTTGCACTTGCTGAGTTTAGAGGTTTAACACTGGGCTTTTTCATACGGTATTTCTGCAAACTTGTTACTTCTTCTGCTGTCCTTGTTTCAGTTAATATCACAATGTACCCCTTTACCCAATTTAGAAACCTCTGAATCATCTTCTATTCCTCTCTATCTCTGCCTACTCACATCTATCAGTCATCAACTTTTTAAATTTTTTTTTTTTACTTTCTCCTCTAAATATTTTCCCAGTCCACCCTTTCTCTACTTCTTTGAGAGGTAGTAAGGGTGTAATTCTGGTCTTTCCCATATATTACTTAGACGGTTAAAATTGCCTTCTAATGAGGTCTTCCCTCGTCCCACCTACTAAGCAAGTTTAATGCAAGCATTTGCAATACTGCTTTTAGGGTAGCCAAGATTGTCTGCTACAGTTTATTTCAAAATTTCTTTCCTCTCCTTGAAGGCTTTATGACCAACAGGATATGTCTAAACTCTTTGGCAAGACTCTCTCCAAAGTCACTTACTTCACTTATCCATCACACAGCCTAGTTTCCATCAAAGGATCTTTTGAATGCCTTCTGGGCTGTACTGAGCTTTTATGTAAGCTTTTCTTACAACCAAAAGGCCCACCCCGCCTATTGTGCAAAAGACGCCTCCTTAGACTTCAAGATATAATTTTAATTTTCCCTCTGCAAGCCTGTCCTTACTCCATCTCCCAGACAGTGGCAACTTTCCCCTAGATTCCAAGTCCATTGTCCATTCTGTACCTTTGTCTCTTGTCACTTGGATGCTGCATATACTTACTGTTGCACTTGTCTAACTCACAGCCAATGCATGGGGGTGAAGCTAGTTCTTACTCCTGTAAGTCTTGTATTCCACTTGCCATTTTTCTTGCTATCACACCAGCCTTCGTAAGTGCCGACATAGTGTGTAACATATATCAAATATGCATTAAATGTTAATTTTCTTGTCCACTCATGAAAGTAAAGCGACTGTCATTTATTTAGTGATTAGTCGTTGAGCTGTATGTACCTTATTGAGACTCAGTATTATTTCCATATTCTTTATAAGGATAATAAGATTTCTTCTCTTTTTGCTTTTTCTTCCAGGACATTGCAAAGTGACTCATTGTCAGTATAACAAATTAACCTGCTATAAATTGTTTATTGATTCTATTGAGTGATTGTGTTGTTCTTCTCAAGCATGATATATCCATTCATTAGGAGCCTTCCAAGGTTTTCCCTTAAACAGTGACATTAATGATTGGATAGCAGTGGGGCAGTGATGTGCTGGAGTCAGATTGTACTGGCTTCTGAGAATCAATTGTTAAGTTTTCATGATTTTTATTACCTGGTTGTTAAAAACAGCCCTCATTAAAAATTAAATTATGTAAACTTACAAAATAAGTTATATTTTAAAAGGCAAACACTCATTACTTTGTAATTATTTTGCAGCATTTAACTATTATCTATATTTTGAAGTTGTACATTTATTGTACCTGTGTAGTATAAATACTATATATATAATAATGTGCTAATGGGCACCTCTTCCCAACTTCATGTTTAAAGACATCACATTGGTAGCTTAAAATTGGCCATGATGAGAGTATTTACACCACAGGCATTAGCAAACATTACAAATCAGGCCTCCTACCTCCAACCCTGCCTTGATTGTTAAACATTTATCAGAACAACATGGCGATAGAGGCATAGTCAGAGTCATTTTTTTTTCAGAAAAAGAAAATACCCAAAGAATATATAGTCATGCATATTCATATATAGTCATATATTCTTTGGGTATTTTCTTTTTCTGAAAAATTCTGCTTATGCCATAATTTTCATGATTTTTTTTCAAATAGTAAAATGTTAAAGACACTTCTATAATGTAAGATCAAACATATACTCTGCCAATATACATCAGCATAGTCATAGTGATAGTCAAATTATAGGCATACTTCTATACTAATTGGCAAAAAATAGAGAAAAACAAAACTCTCAAAACCCATAGAAAACAAAAATCCTGCAGCTCCAAGATCTTCACGGGCTCCTCAGCCACCTAGGTCAGCCAATCCCTTCGTTAGGATTTCTGGGACCACGAGGGAGCAATGAAATGATCAATGCCTGGCCCAAGAGGGACTTTCCAAAGCCTGACCCTGAACCAGACTTTCAGCCTTTTACTATTTAAGGCACACGAAGGACAGAGGAGAGATCATTTTAGATCGGGAGTTTTTCTTGTTGGTTGTCAAAGTATGCCATGTAAACAATCACCTATTTAACTGACACATAGCACCAGTCTGAAAGCCCAGTCTTTATCCTCCTCTGTTGAAAAAGGTTCTTTAGTTCATGGAACAGTGTATTCTGTGCATTACACACGGCAGTGGGGGGTGATTTTTGTCCAACACAGTGATTCTCTGCATTGGCTGCATATATGAGTCTTCCGAGGAGCTCCTAGAAAAAATAACAACTTCCTGGCCCTAATTAAATTAGAGCCTATTGGGGGTGTGAGAGAGCGCCCTGACATTATCATTCTTTACAAGCTCTCTGCATGCTTCCAATAAGCAGCTGATTTAATATGAAGAATGAGGCCAGAGATTAGTAGTCCCTACATCTCAGCTGGAATTCTACCAGGTACCAGCTGTGTGATACTGGCCAAGTTGAACTCTGTGAGTCTCAGTTTCCATATTTGTGCAATGGGAATAATAATAACCTGCTTCACAGAGTGCTCTAGAAATTATGTGAAAGTGTGAGGGAGAGCAGTTTCTGAGTGGTAAAGTACTAAACAATACAAGTGACGTTGGCTACAACCACATCCCTGCCTTGCCCAACAAATTAGCTTGCTGCCAAGTTGCATATGTCAGTGTTACAGTGCTTTCTTTTTTCTTTTTTTGGAGATAGAATCTCACTCTTTTGCCCAGGCTGGAGTGCAGTGGCGCAATCTCAGCTCACTGCAACCTCCACCTCCCAGGTTCAAGCCATTTTCCCACCTCAGCCTCCCGAGTAACTGGGCTTACAGATGCGTGCCACCATGCCTGGCTAATTTTTGTATTTTTAGTAGAGACGGGATTTCACCGTGTTGGCCAGACTGGTCTCAAACTCCTGACTTTGGGTGATCTGCCCACCTCAGCCTCCCAAAATGCTGAGATTATGGGTGTGAGCCACCACGTCCAGCCTAGAGTGCTTTCTTAACAATAGCCAAAACCCTCTGCCTAGGTCTGGGGAGATGAATAACACTAATATTTTTAAGCACACCTGTGTAATTGTGGAATCTGGTTTGAATGCACATCACCCTCCAACAATATGTTCGAAAGCCAGCTAAGCTACCGGCCTCTGTAACATCACAGGGCAGGGAGCTCCAAAGGTTAATTACAATTGGATGCTCCTATACCATTTTGAATGCCCCGCTGTTACATGTCACCCAGTGTCCCCTGGTTCTCTTTCATGGACCTGGAAAGCCAATCATCCCCATGACCTTTGGTTCTCTTCCCTTTATTTTAGAAGCAAATACATTTTAGCTTCCAGGATTAGACAGCTAGGAAATTGTGAACACTATGTTCCAATCCCTTTGTTTGCTGAAACTTGAAGGATCCTGGCTAGATGCTTACATGTATGAGAATAACAGATAAAAAGAGTTGCAATTTAACTTTGAGACCAGACTAATTTTGAGAGACTGAGTCCTGAAGTACTTTTTTTCAGTCACAAAAGCTTCAGAAGGGCAGAAGAAAGGCTTGACTCAGTAACCCAGGAATGTAGCAGCTGATGTTCGAGGACAAGCTGGTGTATGCAGGAGCACCAGATGTCCCGACAGAAGAAAGCGGATGCCACAGATTGGGAAGAGCTGTGGCAGGGGAGAGAGCCAACTCAGATTTCTTCTTCTGACTAATTCTGATTTTCTGATTAATGAATGCTTATAATAAAAAAATCATCATCACAGAAAGGGGAAATACATCTACAATACCCATGATTATACTGCACCGAACATCACTTTAAGTTTTGAAGTATAATTCTTTGGGTATTTTCTCTTTCTGAAAAATTCTGCTTATGCCATCATTTTCATAATTTTTTTCAAATAGTAAAATGTTAAAGACACTTCTATAAGACCAGACATAATACTCTTTGCCTTTCTTTCTACTCTCTCTCTCCACACACACACACACACACACACACACAGAGAGAGACAGAGAGAGAGAGACAGAGAGAGAGAGAGAGAGAGAGAATGTCCTAGGTACTGAGCTGTGTGCTAATTTTTAATAAGAGCAATTTTGTGTCAGTCTTATCACAGAATTCCTCAGCTGTCAGGGATAGCCAGAGTTCATCAGCAAGCCCTTCTGTGCTAGGAAGGTCTCAAGTTTGCATCCACAATAATCCCACAAAGCATACATTGCAGTATCTGTATCACTCTCTGCTTCTCATCTTGGAAAACTGAGCAAGGTTAAAAATACCTTCACTCCAAATGATGTTAGCTGCAAAGCAGATCCAACCATAGCTCTGCCCCCCACTCGGTCCTAGCCAGCTGTGAAAGGGCCTAATGAGCAGGCTCTGGGAGAGAGCTGCTGGGGGCGTGTGGCTGGAGTCCTCCACGTCCATCCACTAGCCGATGGTCATCAGCAGGTTGGAGGAAGGTAATTGCCCTTGCAACTTCTTTTAGCAGCCACAGTAAAGGTCCTGCATAAATACCCAGGTCTGGATGCAGGAATAGAATTGCCACACTGCAAAAGTCAAGTGAGTTTATCAACTGGGTCAGCTTCTGTCTTTCCCTATGGGATCCAGGAGATATTAATAAATTTGAGAAATTATTAGGTACCAAATGTCCAATGGGCCTTCCCTCAAGTCTGTATCAGCCCACCTATGTTTTCCAGTGTGGAATCCCACTCCTCACTAACTGCATCCTCTACAGGCAGCCTTGGAGGATACCCTGTGCTCCTGCAGCAGGTCTACTCCCTAGCTCCACTCTTGATGCACATGTTGTGAGATGTCCCCAACAACCGATGGGCATTTCTTAGGAGGGTTGAAGGATATACATTTTCTTTTAGGCTTGATACCATATGTGGATATGGTTCTTACTAGTCCGTGGACATGCATTTATTTATCATCCACTTAATTCCCTGTTTAAAGAGATTTATAGAATGCTTCACAGGTACTTATGAAGTACTTCAGGGAACACAGAGAGCTATAGGACATGGTCTTTCCCCTGAAGAAGCCTCCATTCTGGAGGTATAAAACAGAGACATACTAAACATATCAGTAGCCAAGGAAGAATATGATTGAACATCATATTTGATGGAAACTGAAGGGGTCTGAAGGGCTATATGTCACCTTTGATAAATTGATGAAAATGATCTGGCTGGCCTGGAGTAGGGGGAAGGAGAGAGGTATATTCCTCAAACAGAACTGAGCAAAGAACACGCTAGGTCCATGAGACAATGAAGAAACTGGACAAGTCCAGGGAAGAAAGGTATGTTGGCTGCTATCTACATGTGGCATGGGTGGAATTAAATCCTGAAGGAAGGGAAAAGACAGTAAAGGGGAAAGGGGGAGCTGCTTGGTAAGTTCAAAGAAATTTAAACTTGAATGTCTCCCATTGCCCTGGGGTATCGTTACTTCAACAAAGGCTATTACAAAATTAAATTATTCTCTTCTGCATGGCTTAACCTTATTCCTCCTAATGTCTTCTTTCGTTGGAGGTCAGTAACTTCAGGTCAGTGGTGGAGATGGTTAAGCATTATGGAGCGTTTTACAACTATTTGGCCTAGTTTGGGAGAGTAGGGTAATAAAGACACTGACTTTTAACTAAATTTTCAATAATGCTGCTAGGTGGAATGGAGTCTGGTCATTTTCTCTCCCTGTAACCAACTCTATGTGTTTTAAATCTGGTGGGTCATGAAATTGAACAGGCTCCTCAGGATTTTCCCCTAGATCCTTATCCCCACCAGTTCAGTGGACCAACCTAGAAGTGATAAACCTCAGAGAATATTAGTAATTTAGTCCTAATGCAACACTGATCAGTTAAAATATGCTGTATTCCCTGAGGTTTCCCACTTTCCCTCCACAAATGCTCTGCTTAGACCATTGAGAGATGAATAAATCCTGGTGGTATCTTTGTGATGAATCTTCTGGCTTTGTTGCCAGTAATTAGAATCAAAGGTTTGAGTCTCTCTTGGTATTCAAGTTATAGCATTCATTCTAAATCTCCTGGGCTGAAAGGTCTAGAGTAGAGTTAGAGAAGATCTGATTCATTCCCTTTATATGATATCTGAGGAAACTCAAGACTCGAAAGGGAAAGTGACAGTTTATGCTTCATTAAGGGATGACAGAGTTGGTCCAAGCCTTAATTGCCTGTTTCTACTTGACTGTGCTACTCCTGCCTTCAGCTCAGTCCCCATCTGGCTGTCCACCTCTCCCATTACCATTTATCAAATAACCGTGTAAAAAATATTTAAATGAAAAATTTAAGTCACTAATAATTCCTCTATAGTAATAAAACTACGGTTACTATTTTAAATTATATCTCCTCAATTTTTTGTGTGTGCATATGGGCTACTGGGTACATAACATGTATCTTTCGCTCAAATGGAATCACCATTACATTTGTTTTGTAACCTATTTTCTTTTTGTCTACATTTATCATGAGCATCTTTTCACATCACCAATTATAGACTGGCATCTTTATATTTAAAGATTGCATTGCATTCTGTCTTGTGGATGAATCATAATAGTGAAATACAATATCCTACTGCTGTATTTAAAAATTATTTTTAGTTGCAGCCTATTTCCATTTATTTCCTTAGGACCAATTCCAACAAGTGGAATTTTTAAGTCAAAGGATATGTGCATTCGTTGAGACTTTTGATATATAGACCAAAATGCCCTCTGGGAAAGTTGGAACAATTTACAATCTCACTAGGAATATAGTAGGAGAACATTCTTTCCCCATACCCTCAAACACAGTGAACACTAACATTTTTGCTCATCCTTTATAATCTGATAGATTAACCATTTTAAGCTCTTCCTATATGAATTTGCATTCCTTGATAACTAGTGAATTAAATTTTTTTCCCACAAGTTCATTGATCATTTGTAGAATGGAAATATTTTCCTGAAAATAATAGGCACAGATTTTCTGCAAAACACTAACTTTCACTGATCTAATTAAAAGAGTATTGAAAGGATGAATTAACCAGTTTATTAAACCCAGTACACATAAGCTAGTGATTTCATTCTTCATTGCCCTTCAAGATTCTTTGAGACTGAAAACTAAGAAGAAACAAATGAACCCATGTGAATAGCAAGGTGCCTTTATATTCCTAAAGCTGCACAGGAATTGGCTTACACACAGAAGTTTACAGCATAACTAGATTGATATGATTCTTATTTTGTTTTGTTTTACTGTTTCCTGGACAATAACAATTATGATTTAAAACTTGGCCAAATCCTATAGAGGCCCCTCTGATACTGTTTCTTTCTGTGGGCATAACACCTGGATGAGTCAGTTAACTTTCCACTTCTACCAAGTCTATAATCACTTGAATGCTATCCTTTGGCCGGCTACAGCCAATTGCAGCTGATCAACATTTTTCTAAGCACACTAAATTATGTGCATAAAAAATAATAGCCACCCATCTTTGTCCAAGTAGACTTTTCTTACTTAGCCTGTATATAATTCTCTATCAAATAGTCACTATGGAGATGTGTATATTAAATAGACATGTGTATCTATTTATGCCTGGATCCTTATGACAGTGACAGAAACAAAAGTGATGGTAACATTTTATTGGAACGTGGTTCCCTTTGTCTCCAGGGAATCTTGTATGTTGTAAATAATATATACAATAAAATTATTAAAGAAAAAATTTTAAAACAGAAATAAATCAGGGCCCTCATCTGTGGAGCTCCCAGCACCTTGCAGAGGTGTTCCCTCTTCTTTGTCCTCATAACTTTGTTTTCCTCCAGTATTATTCTAAGATTTTTGTATATTTATCTTACAGGGATCTATCTCCTTTATTGAATTAGGGGCATCTTAGAAATGAGTATTTATTTCTTTTTATAGCTCTCAGCACTTAGTAGCTGATTCATAAATATTGCTTTAAGAATTCAACTGGCTTCTCAATGGAGGATGCAAAGAGGTAGGGACAGGTCTTCAGAATAACACCTTTTGGATGCAGTCAGGAGCTAGAGGGAAATTCAGAATTGCCTAAACGGATATGGTCTCTGGACAGGGAGTGACATGTCCAACTTTGTCTTCTCCAATTTTGTCTTAAGATAGTCCTATGGGCTGCTGATTCCTAAACTCTTGGATGTCACACAATTAGAAAAATTTCAAAATGGGTAACTTGGCCACGTAAAAAAAAGCAACAAATGTTTATTATCATCTCTTATGAAAAATTCAAGAAATTTTGATACCCACCAAAGAGGAGACACATACTATAAGGATATGGGACAGCTTAAAAAAATGAATGCATTTAGCCTGAAGAACACTCCACATTGTATTTATTGTTCTGTTTTACTGGTGGATTTGTGAAAATGTCTTTACACAAAGCACCAGTGGCAGATTGGCATTTAGAAACCATTAGTGTGGCTCGATATTTGGGATGAGTGAGGAGGTACTGGTTTGAGTGCAGAGGGGTCTCCTCTGACAGGTGGACATGCATCTTCTTTCTGGCCATGGGGATAAATTCCAAAGAGGAGACCCTGTGAGGATGGGGATCATGTTCCTCTCATTCTTTATGGCATAAGAGAGAGATTCAGTGTGGCAGTTTTATTGCTGTTGTTAAAGGGGATCACTTGGGCTTCATAATGGATGGGTCTGAGGACTCCCTCAATGTCCTCTAAAGTACTCTCTGACTTTATAATTTTGATATTAATTAGACAAGCTCCTGGAAATCTATTGCAGTGGTGACATTAGCCATTGCTCTGTCAGGAGTTGAAAATAAATAAAAAAGAGGCTCTGGTTTCTAAATTCCTCTTATCTAGAGGAAGCAGTGCATCATATTTGGAGACACTAATTTTGAGTCAAGTAGAAGTCTGAGAAATTATTGTCATTCATTTTTGGGGTCATTCGTTTCTCCCCAAATGCCTTAGCTAGAAGTTTATAGACACTAGGGGGAGATCCTGACAAAAGAGGAAAGATGGTTAAGGAAAGGAGACTCCATGGTATAGCCGTGGAAAGGGCTCTCCATAGACTATTCTTGATGTCTCTTTTCTTCTTCCTTGTCTTAGTTCGGTTTCCGTCAGAGCCAGAGCCTGATGTGAGGATTCAAGTGCAAATAGTTTAATGGGAGATACAAGAAGGACCTGCAGGGTGTGCAGGGGGAAGAAGTGAGACAGGGAAGGGAGGGCAGCCAGTAAAAGGTACACTGTTAAGCCAGCTACCACACTTGCACACTGGACTTTGATCTTATGGGGGAATGCTGGAAAGTGTTTCAGAATTATCCAGGTCAAGGGATGAGAGATGAAGTATAGCTCCAAGCTAGTTATTACTGGTTAAGAGCTGTCCCTGGGGGGTGCTAATTCCCAGATAATTCTGGTCTATATTGCTGCATGCAAATGGGTTTTGGCAGCCCTGGGCTATGCTCTGCCAGCTGTGAAAGTGCTGGCTATTGGAAGTTAGGACAACATGCCTCTAGAAGTTAAGGAATCCAAGAGACGTGGCTGGGCCTCCTCCCATGGATTGGATACACTCTCATATTTTACTCTACAATTAAAATGATAAAAGATAATGTGCGATATCTCTATACAAAAGAATGAAGTTGGACTTTTACCTAAGAAGATTTACAAAAAGTAATTCAAAATGAATCAAAGACCAAAAGGTAAGCCCTGAAACTGTAAAACTCTTAGAAAAAAACATTGGGCAAAAGCTTCATGGCACTGAATTTGGCAGTGGTTTCTTGGATATGATATAAAAGGCAGAGGCAACAACAACAACAAAACAGACAAATGTGACTTTATAAAACCTTTAAAAAATTCTGTGCATCAAAAGATACTATCAGCAGAGTTAAAATACTAGCTACAGAATGGGAGAAAATATCAGCAAGTTATGTTTCTGATAAGGGATTAATATCCAGAAGAGATGAGAACTCCTGAAAGTAATCAACAACAAGGAAAACCACAGCCCAATTCCAAAATGAGCAAAGGACTGGAATGGACAATTATCCAAAGAAGATACAAAATTGGCCAATAAGCACATGAAAAAATGCTCAATATTACTAAACATAAAAGGAAAATGTGAATCAAAAGCACTACATGATACCACTTCATACCCATTAGAATGTCTTCTATCAGAAAATAAGAAAAACAACAAGTATTAGCGAGGATATGGGCAGAGCCCCCAACAGGTGGCAATGTAAAATGGCACAGACACTGTAAAATACAGTATGGAAGTTTTTTTTAAAAAAAAATTAAAAACAGAATTATATGATCCAGTGATTCACTTCCAGTAGTATACCCAAAAGAATTGAAGGTAGAATATTGAGAGCAGGGTATGGAAAACATATGTGTACACCCATGTATATAACAGCACTATCCATGATAGCTAAAACATGGAAGCAACCCAAGTTCCATCAACAGATGCATGGATAAGCAAAATATGGTGTATACATACAGTAGACTATGATCCAGCATTAGGAGGGAAATTCTTACATATACCACAACATGGATGAACCTAGAGAGCATAATGCTAAGTGAAACAAGTCAGTCACACAAAAAAAATCCACAAATACTGTATAATTCAATTTATATGAGATACTTAGAGTAGTCAAACTAATAGAGACATTAAGTAGAATGGTTGTTGCCAGAGACTGAGGGGAGGAGGGAATAGAGAGTTATTGTTCATGGGTACAGAGTTTCAGTTTTATAAGATGAAAGAGTTGTGGAGATGGATGGTGGATATGGCTGTACCACATTATAAATGTATTTAATACAACTGAATGGTATATTTAAAATTGGCAAAGAGGGTAAATCTTACATGTATTTTAACACAATAACATAAAATTGTGATAAAAAGAGATAATGCACTAAGAGAGAAAAAAGTCAGATGCAGAGGATCTCCAGGTGCGAATGAGTCATGCACAGATTAAAGACCGTGACCTTTGTTAATGCAGACAAATGAGGAACAAAGATGAACAAGACACAAACAAAAAGTACCCTTGTTAATTATTTACATTTCCACTTGTTGCATTTATTTTTCTCTAAGGATTTAGTGTTTCTGTAAAATATTTTGCAATATTTCTTTTAATGGTGTAAGGTAAGCTAAATGTCAAGTTCGAGAGTTTTTATCCTTGCTTTCTACGTATTGCTGCCATAATCACTTCTCCTAAGTTAGCTGTATGTAAATCCTCATTTCTGAAAATGATGCTCACTTGCACAGAAATATCAAACATAAAATATTTTTTATAGTAGATAACACATAAAATGCAATGAACTGACTATAAACATTCAACCATCTCTATATCCCACAGATATTTATTCAGCACCAACTGCATGCCAGACAATGTGTTAGGCATTAGGAATGAGGAGCAGTAAAGATGTTGTTAAGAACTCATCTGATAATCATCTGGAATCTAGTTCTGGTGTAGTGAAAGAATGAGAAATAAAACTGTAGATTCTGTGTGTTAATGTTGCATGAAAGAGCAGCTCCTGGATCTGAGGAGGGTGATGACAACAGTCTCCATTTTCTGTAGGATTCTCCCCCACAGGAAATATGCTGAGTTAAAAAGCAAAATTTCTTCTAGCCCATCCACTGATTGTGCACTGGTCTGTACCGGACACCAGAAGAATAGAAAGGAAGGAAATACTGATTGATTTGCATTGATTTGTGCCCCTTCAAGTTGATATATTGGAGCTATAACCCCCAAGGTGATGGTATTTGGAGATGAGGCCTTTAGAAGCTAATTAAGTTTCAATGAGGTTATGAGGGTGGGGCCCTCATGATGGGATTAGCATCCTTATTAGGAGAGAAAGTGACTAGAGCTTACTTTCTCTCTCTCTGTGCCATGAGGGGGCACAGTGAGAAGGCTGCCATTTGCAAACTAGGAAGAGGATCCTCAGTTCTCATAGAAACCAAGTCCAAGTCCACCAGTGCCTTGATCTTAGAGTTGCCAGCCTCCAGAGCTATGAGAAACAGTGTCTATTCCTTAAGCCACACAGTCTCTGATATTTTGTTACCGCAACTGAAGTTAAGATATATTTTTACAGGGAGGAGCCAAGATGGCCGAATAGGAACAGCTCCGGTCTACAGCTCCCAGCATGAGCGACGCAGAAGACGGGTGATTTCTGCATTTCCATCTGAGGTACCCGGTTCATCTCAGTAGGGAGTGCCAGACAGTGGGCGCAGGCCAGTGGGTGCGCGCACCCTGCGCGAGCCGAAGCAGGGCGAGGCATTGCCTCACCTGGGAAGCGCAAGGGGTCAGGGAGTTCCCTTTCTGAGTCAAAGAAAGGGGTGACGGACGCACCTGGAAAATCGAGTCACTCCCACCTGAATATTGCGCTTTTCAGACCGGCTTAAAAAACGGTGCACCACGAGACTATATCCCACACCTGGCTCGGAGGGTCCTACGCCCATGGAGTCTCGCTGATTGCTAGCACAGCAGTCTGAGATCAAACTGCAAGGCGGCAGCGAGGCTGGGGGAGGGGCGCCCGCCATTGCCCAGGCTTGCTTAGGTAAACAAAGCAGCTGGGGAAGCTCGAACTGGGTGGAGCCCACCACAGCTCAAGGAGACCTGCCTGCCTCTGTAGGCTCCACCTCTGGGGGCAGGGCACAGACAAACAAAAAGACACCAGTAACCTCTGCAGACTTAAATGTCCCTGTCTGACAGCTTTGAAGAGAGCAGTGGTTCTCCCAGCACGCAGCTGGAGATCTGAGAACGGGCAGACTGCCTCCTCAAGTGGGTCCCTGACCCCTGACCCCCGAGCAGCCTAACTGGGAGGCACCCCCCAGCAGGGGCACACTGACACCTCACACGGCAGGGTATTCCAACAGACCTGCAGCTGAGGGTCCTGTCTGTTAGAAGGAAAACTAACAAACAGAAAGGACATCCACACCGAAAACCCATCTGTACATCACCATCATCAAAGACCAAAAGTAGATAAAACCACAAAGATGGGGAAAAAACAGAACAGAAAAACTGGAAACTCTAAAACGCAGAGCGCCTCTCCTCCTCCAAAGGAACGCAGTTCCTCACCAGCAACGGAACAAAGCTGGATGGAGAATGATTTTGACGAGCTGAGAGAAGAAGTCTTCAGACGATCAAATTACTCTGAGCTACGGGAGGACATTCAAACCAAAGGCAAAGAAGTTGAAAACTTTGAAAAAAATTTAGAAGAATGTATAACTAGAATAACCAATACAGAGAAGTGCTTAAAGGAGCTGATGGAGCTGAAAACCAAGGCTTGAGAACTACGTGAAGAATGCAGAAGCCTCAGGAGCCGATGCGATCAACTGGAAGAAAGGGTATCAGCAATGGAAGATGAAATGAATGAAATGAAGCGAGAAGGGAAGTTTAGAGAAAAAAGAATAAAAAGAAATGAGCAAAGCCTCCAAGAAATATGGGACTATGTGAAAAGACCAAATCTACGTCTGATTGGTGTACCTGAAAGTGATGCGGAGAATGGAACCAAGTTGGAAAACACTCTGCAGGATATTATCCAGGAGAACTTCCCCAATCTAGCAAGGCAGGCCAACGTTCAGATTCAGGAAATACAGAGAATGCCACAAAGATACTCCTCGAGAAGAGCAACTCCAAGACACATAATTGTCAGATTCACCAAAGTTGAAATGAAGGAAAAAATGTTAAGGGCAGCCAGAGAGAAAGGTCGGGTTACCCTCAAAGGGAAGCCCATCAGACTAACAGCGGTTCTCTTGGCAGAAACCCTACAAGCCAGAAGAGAGTGGGGGCCAATATTCAACATTCTTAAAGAAAAGAATTTTCAACCCAGAATTTCATATCCAGCCAAACTAAGCTTCATAAGTGAAGGAGAAATAAAATACTTTACAGACAAGCAAATGCTGAGAGATTTTGTCACCACCAGCCCTGCCCTAAAGGAAGCCCTCCTGAAGGAAGCGCTAAACATGGAAAGGAACAACCGGTACCAGCCGCTGCAAAATCATGCCAAAATGTAAAGACCATCGAGACTAGGAAGAAACTGCATCAACTAATGAGCAAAATCACCAGCTAACATCATAATGACAGGATCAAATTCACACATAACAATATTAACTTTAAATGTAAATGGACTAAATTCTCCAATTAAAAGACACAGACTGGCAAGTTGGATAAAGAGTCAAGACCCATCAGTGTGCTGTATTCAGGAAACCCATCTCACGTGCAGAGACACACATAGGATCAAAATAAAAGGATGGAGGAAGATCTACCAAGCAAATGGAAAACAAAAAAAGGCAGGGGTTGCAATCCTAGTCTCTGATAAAACAGACTTTAAACCAACAAAGATCAAAAGAGAAAAAGAAGGCCATTACATAATGGTAAAGGGATTAATTCAACAAGAGGAGCTAACTATCCTAAATATATATGCACCCAATACAGGAGCACCCAGATTCATAAAGCAAATCCTGAGTGACCTACAAAGAGACTTAGACTCCCACACATTAATAATGGGAGACTTTAACACCCCACTGTCAACATTAGACAGATCAAAGAGACAGAAAGTCAACAAGGATACCCAGGAATTGAACTCAGCTCTGCACCAAGCGGACCTAATAGACATCTACAGAACTCTCCACCCCAAATCAACAGAATATATATTTTTTTCAGCACCACACCACACCTATTCCAAAATTGACCACATAGTTGGAAGTAAAGCTCTCCTCAGCAAATGTAAAAGAACAGAAATTATAACAAACTATCTCTCAGACCACAGTGCAATCAAACTAGAACTCAGGATTAAGAATCTCACTCAAAGCCGCTCAACTACATGGAAACTGAACAACCTGCTCCTGAATGACTACTGGGTACATAACGAAATGAAGGCAGAAATAAAGATGTTCTTTGAAACCAACGAGAACAAAGACACAACATAACAGAATCTCTGGGACGCATTCAAAGCAGTGTGTAGAGGGAAATTTATAGCACTAAATGCCCACAAGAGAAAGCAGGAAAGATCCAAAATTGACACCCTAACATCACAATTAAAAGAACTAGAAAAGCAAGAGCAAACACATTCAAAAGCTAGCAGAAGGCAAGAAATAACTAAAATCAGAGCAGAACTGAAGGAAATAGAGACACAAAAAACCCTTCAAAAAATCAATGAATCCAGGAGCTGGTTTTTTGAAAGGATCAACAAAATCGATAGACCGCTAGCAAGACTAATAAAGAAAAAAAGAGAGAAGAATCAAATAGACACAATAAAAAATGATAAAGGGGATATCACCACCAATCCCACAGAAATACAAACTACCATCAGAGAATACTACAAACACCTCTACACAAATAAACTAGAAAACCTAGAAGAAATGGATACATTCCTCGACACCTACACTCTCCCAAGACTAAACCAGGAAGAAGTTGAATCTCTGAATAGACCAATAACAGGAGCTGAAATTGTGGCAATAATCAATAGTTTACCAACCAAAAAGAGTCCAGGACCAGATGGATTCACAGCCGAATTCTTCCAGAGGTACAAGGAGGAACTGGTACCATTCCTTCTGAAACTATTCCAATCAATAGAAAAAGAGGGAATCCTCCCTAACTCATTTTATGGGGCCAGCATCATTCTGATACCAAAGCCGGGCAGAGACACAACCAAAAAAGAGAATTTTAGACAAATATCCCTGATGAATAGCGATGCAAAAATCCTCAATAAAATACTGGCAAACTGAATCCAGCAGCACATCAAAAAGCTTATCCACCATGATCAAGTGGGCTTCATCCCTGGGATGCAAGGGTGGTTCAATATACGCAAATCAATAAATGTAATCCAGCATATAAACAGAGCCAAAGACAAAAACCACATGATTATCTCAATAGATGCAGAAAAAGCCTTTGACAAAATTCAACAACCCTTCATGCTAAAAACTCTCAATAAATTAGGTATTGATGGGACGTATTTCAAAATAATAAGAGCTATCTATGACAAACCCACAGTCAATATCATACTGAATGGGCAAAAACTGGAAGCATTCCCTTTGAAAACGGGCACAAGACAGGGATGCCCTCTCTCACCACTCCTGTTCAACATAGTGTCGGAAGTTCTGGCCAGGGCAATCAGGCAGGAGAAGGAAATAAAGGGTATTCAATTAGGAAAAAAGAGGAAGTCAAATTGTCCCTGTTTGCAGACGACATGATTGTTTATCTAGAAAACCCCATCGTCTCAGCCCAAAATCTCCTTAAGCTGATAAGCAACTTCAGCAAAGTCTCAGGATACAAAATCAATGTACAAAAATCACAAGCATTCTTATACACCAACAACAGACAAACAGAGAGCCAAATCATGAGTGAACTCCCATTCACAATTGCTTCAAAGAGAATAAAATACCTAGGAATCCAACTTACAAGGGATGTGAAGGACCTCTTCAAGGAGAACTACAAACCACTGCTCAAGGAAATAAAAGAGGATACAAACAAATGGAAGAACATTCCATGCTCATGGGTAGGAAGAATCAATATCGTGAAAATGGCCATACTGCCCAAGGTAATTTACAGATTCAATGCCATCCCCATCAAGCTACCAATGACTTTCTTCACAGAATTGGAAAAAACTACTTTAAAGTTCATATGGAACCAAAAAAGAGCCCACATCGCCAAGTCAATCCTAAGCCAAAAGAACAAAGATGGAGGCATCACACTACCTGACTTCAAACTATACTACAAGGCTACAGTAACCAAAACAGCATGGTACTGGTACCAAAACAGAGATATAGATCAATGGAACAGAACAGAGCCCTCAGAAATAACGCCGCATACCTACAACTATCTGATCTTTGACAAACCTGAGAAAAACAAGCAATGGGGAAAGGATTCCCTATTTAATAAATGGTGCTGGGAAAACTGGCTAGCCATATGTAGAAAGCTGAAACTGGATCCCTTCCTTACACCTTATACAAAAATCAACTCAAGATGGATTAAAGATTTAAACGTTAGACCTAAAACCATAAAAACCCTAGAAGAAAACCTAGGCATTACCATTCAGGACATAGGCGTGGGCAAGGACTTCATGTCCAAAACACCAAAAGCAATGGCAACAAAAGCCAAAATTGACAAATGGGATCTAATTAAACTAAAGAGCTTCTGCACAGCAAAAGAAACTACCATCAGAGTGAACAGGCAACCTACAACATGGGAGAAAATTTTCGCAACCTACTCATCTGACAAAGGGCTAATATCCAGAATCTACAATGAACTCAAACAAATTTACAAGAAAAAAACAAACAACCCCATCAAAAAGTGGGCGAAGGACATGAACAGACACTTCCCAAAAGAAGACATTTATGCAGCCAAAAAACACATGAAAAAATGCTCATCATCACTGGTCATCAGAGAAATGCAAATCAAAACCACTATGAGATATCATCTCACACCAGTTAGAATGGCAATCATTCAAAAGTCAGGAAAAAACAGGTGCTGGAGAGGATGTGGAGAAATAGGAACACTTTGACACTGTTGGTGGGACTGTAAACTAGTTCAACCATTGTGGAAGTCAGTGTGGCGATTCCTCAGGGATCTAGAACTAGAAATACCATTTGACCCAGCCATCCCATTACTGGGTATATACCCAAATGACTATAAATCATGCTGCTGTAAAGTCACATGCACATGTATGTTTATTGTGGCATTATTCACAATAGCAAAGACTTGGAACCAACCCAAATGTCCAACAATGATAGACTGGATTAAGAAAATGTGGCACATATACACCATGGAATACTATGCAGCCATAAAAAATGATGAGTTCATGTCCTTTGTAGGGACATGGATGAAATTGGAAACCATCATTCTCAGTAAACTATCGCAAGAACAAAAAACCAAACACCGCATATTCTCACTCATAGGTGGGAATTGAACAATGAGATCACATGGACACAGGAAGGGGAATATCACACTCTGGGGACTGTGGTGGGGTGAGGGGAGGGGGGAGGGATAGCATTGGGAGATATACCTAATGCTAGATGACGAGTTAGTGGGTGCAGCGCACCAGCGTGGCACATGTATATATATGTAACTAACCTGCACAATGTGCACATGTACCCTAAAACTTAAAGTATAAAAAAAAAAAAAAGTTAAAAAAAAAAAGATATATTTTTACATAAAATATCATATGTCTGTGAGTAGATATCATGTCCATTTTATGAACAAGGAAATGAAGCCCAGGAAAGTTAAATAATAACCCATGGTCAAAGTGCATGTTCCAAATCTAAGAGTCAAATACAGGTGGTCATCCAGTGCTAAGCCTATCGCTCTGTTCACCATGACATGAATCTGATTGCTTTGACTGGTGAATGTTATGATTTTATTTCGGAATCTTCATTAATTAGACATGCAACCTCAAGTGAGTAGTTTTTAACCTCTCAGTCAGTTCACCAATTTATAAATGGAAATAATAGTACTTTAACTTATATTTCATATATGTGAAGGGAATTTTTTTCCTTCCTACATTCTTTCCCTTAAGGTCTAATACAAGCTCTCTGCCCTCCCTCTAGTTTCCTAAAAACAGGACATACGTTGACAAATACAAAAGGTATCCTGCCCGCTTCTCTACCAGGAAGAACAAATGTTAACTACTGAAGACATCTTTGAATGCTTAGCAGCCTAAAGATTGTACCAGAGAAGTAGTGCAAGAGGGCATCCTTGTCTTGTGCCAGTTTTCAAGGAGAATGCTTCCAGCTTTTGCCCATTCAGTATGATATTGTCTATGGGTTTGTCATAAATGGCTCTTATTATTTTGAGATATGTTCCATCAATACCTAGTTTACTGGGAGTTTTTTTTTTTACGTTGAATTTTATCAAAGGCCTTTTCTGCATCTATTGAGATAATCATGTGGTTTTTGTCATTAGTTCTGTTTGTGTGATAAACTATATTTATTGATTTGCAAATGTTGAACCAGCCTTGCATCCCAGGGATGAAGCTGACTTGACCATAGTGGATAAGCTTTTTGATGTGCTGCTGGATTTGGTTTGCCAGTATTTTATTGAGGATTTTTGCACTGATGTTCATCAGGGATGATGGCCTGAAGTTTTCTTTTTTTGTTGTATCTCTGTCAGGTTTTGGTATCGGGAGGATGCTGGTCTCATAAAATGATTTAGAGAGGAGTTCCTGTTTTTCAACTAGCCTTTAACTGTCAGTTGTTTGCCTTCCCTCAAGCTGCCATCCCTGGAGACTCAAAATCCTTTTCTTTTGTCTGGTCACTTCTCTAAAAATTTACTGTTCTTTGTTGAAGATGTGTATAAGCTGAAATTCAAAGTCACCTCTTGGAGAACTACCCATTTCCTGGGTGTTTTCCATGTACATAGGAAATATACATATTCGTAAACTTCTGTTTGTTCTTCTCTTGTTAATCTGTCTCATTCCAGGGGTCCACTTTGACTAAAAGCCTATTGTTGAAAAAAATTATTATTTTTCCCCTTAGTAGCCATTTGTGTCTGGCTTATTTAACTCATGGTAATGCATATAAAATTTATCCATGTTGTTGCCTGTGTCACTAGTAGTTCCTTTATATTGCTCAGTAGTATTCCATTGTTTGGATGTGCTGCAGTTTGCTCATTTAGGGTGTGCTTTAAAAAAATGAAATAATATCTAACTATATATTTATGGTCATTAACCATTTCCACTTCCTATTCCTGCCCCACTACTATTACCAGTCTCTGGTAGCCGTCATTCTACTTTCTATCTCTATGAGTTCAATCGTTTTAATTTTTAGCTCCTGCAAATAAGTGAGAACATAATAACTAGTATTTGGTAGCACAATAGGGTAGCTACAGTCAGCAATAATTTGTTGTACATTTTAGAATAACTGAGGGAGTACAATTGGAATGTTCATAACTCAAAGAAATGAGTGCTTGAGGTGATGGATACCTCACTTACTCTGATGTGATTACACACTCTATACATGTACCAGAAGAGCTCATCTACCCCATAAATATATATACCTACTATGTACCTACAAAATTAAAAAAAAAACTGAAATGATATACGTCAAAGCTTTGGAACTATTAAGTCTATACAAACTAAGATGCATAGCTTGTTTATCTGCTTGGTTTTGTGGGAGTACTCCAGTAAATACAGACTTTTTATGAAAAGCTTTGTCTTTCCCTAAAAAGACTTGTTCTATTGGACACTTAGGAAAAGAAAAGACTAAATCATAGGACAATGTTAGACTAAAGTTTGACCTTAAGCTTTCAAGGCAACAGTCCTGAGGGGGCTGGATTTTGTGGACAGTTGTGTCATTCTTGGCTCCCAAGTGTCTCAGATCTCCATGCTGTCCAACTGGCCCATGTGTTTTCATTGGCTCCATCCTCACCCTCTGCCTAGGTCATGGGGAGTATGATGCAAGGTCTCTCGTCTTTTAGTCGCTTGCCTCTGGTGATCACTCATAGCTCTGCTCCTCAAACCTGGCCTCCCATTTTGTCTGACAGCCATCAGAGACACTTAGCTTTGGAATCAATGTTACTTTGCTCTCAGCTCCATGGGTTGGATGTTCCAGCTTCCAGGTTTTATAAAATCTTTATTTCCATGCTCACTGCTATGGGTTAGCTCTACCCACTTTTCTTACTGGGCTAGAACAAGATGCCACCAGCACTTATCTGTTAAACAAATATTCATTAATAAAGACTACGTGCTAGGTACTATACTAGGTTCTGAAAACAGAACAGTGAGACAGTACAGACATGGTTTGTGTCTGCATTAAGTTTATAACCTGAAGTGGGGGTATTTGTGAGGGGATATGGAGAAGGAAGCAGGCAAGTGACAATGCAGTATGATAAGGGCTATATGAGAAGTTAACATGCAATAAAAACACACAAGACACATCTCTTTTGGTCTTAAAGAGATGGTAAGGGAAGGCTTTCTAAGTGGAAGCAACATGGAAGCAGAAACCTAAAAGAAAGGTCACATGAACAGAGTTTTACCAACTTAGAAGGGATGGAAAGAGGGGAAAATAATCTATGAAATGTAATAGTCAACTAAGGGCCCAGAATTGGGAGCAAAGATGGCGAGCTCTGGAACTGACTGGATGGGAGATGAAACTAGAGAGGAAAGCAGGGCACAAATTACCACACGTCTTGTGAGTTGTCCTCATCTGTTGGGCCACAGTAAAAAAATACCTTTAGACTGGGCTATTTATAAACAACAGAAATTTATTGCTCACAGTTGGAAGACTAGAAAGTTCAAGGTAAAGGTGCCAGTGGATTTGGTGTCTGGTGAGGGCTTGTTCTCTGCTTCATGGATCGCACCTTCTAGCTGTGTCCTCCCATGGTAGAAGGGACAAGGCAGTTCCCTTCAGCCTCTTTTATAAGGGCACTATTCTCATTCACAAGGGACTAAATCACTTCCCCAAAGGCTCCACCTTAATACTACCACATTAGGTATTAGGTTCCAACCTGTAAATTTTGGTGGAACACAAATGCTCAAGCCACAGCAATAATGTTAATTACTTTGTCCTCTGTCCTGAGATTACTGGAACCTATTGAAATTATTTTGGGGAGATAGTGGAGGAGCAGCATCATGAATAGGTTTACATTTTTGGAAGATCATTCTGGCTACGTGGGATGGAGTAAGAATAGAGTGGAAACAGAAGACTTTTTTTGCTTGTAGGTTGTTTTGTTTTCCAAGCAGATGATGTCAGCCTGGAATAGAGCAATAACAGCGAGAATAGAGAGCAATGCTAGAATTCAATATATATATTTAGAAGAGAGAGAAATATAATCTATAAATTTGCTTATTGGTTACAGTAATGAACTGATGCTTGGCAAATATTTTTAGTGCCTCCACATTCTTCACAAACTTCAATCTCCATGTCTCAGAGAAGGTAACAATTGAGATAACTTATCATTTATTATTATTTATTATTATCAGTGCATTTTAGGAAATATTAGTACAAGTATTCAAATGTAAAGTTCCATTAAAAAAGCATTTCTTGTTCAATGCAACTATTGTCCTGTCCACAAAGAAACTGATTCCCACACATACATTTTGTTTCAGTGAGAGATTTTGGAAGTTGAAGAGAGAGAGAACTCTTGTAAAGTTTTGGCATAATTATAGTGGCCCTAGGACTAGGGGAGAACTTGCTCATTTTTCCTTATATATTTGCTCTGGACTTTGTGTTATTTTCTTATCAGAGTCTGTAAACTACTAATAAGGGACACTTGTGTCTTTGAAAAAGGCCATACATTAGAAGTGTTAAGGCAGGGCTTAAGAACCTGGATATTTATCTGTTTTAAAAGTCTTTTATAGACAACAGTGTTTGAGGTCATCCATGACTGAAAACCAATTATACAATAATAGATTGATTAGGGTTAACAAATGCATGTCTCTGTACATTTCACCATATGATTCTGTCATTAGAAAACAAACAATAAGTAAAAAGAGCAGAGGTTATTTTGTCCCTCTTCTATCTTTGGGATCAAAGGTGATTAATAAATAAAAATATTTTCATAATTTTGAAAATTTCTTCTTTTTGAAAAAAAGAGCCCACTTTCCTCATATTAGGCTATAATCTGAGTAGAGATCAAGTGCCTGGTTGATAGTTCTGTGTTATCTTAACTGTGAATCTAGGAATTAGCACACAACTAGAATATAGTAGATATTTTGCAAATGAATAAAATGACACCTTCTTTCATTTGTTCTATGATAATTTCTTCCAAATTTTATGGTATTTCTAGTTCTAGTATTCTATTCTTTCTCAAATCTATTGTATCATATAAGCCCAAGGTATGACTATTATCTCTTTTTTTTGGTCTTTGATATTACCCCCTTTCAGTTTTACATTTTTCTCCAAACTAAAAAACTCAAACTGTGCTAGCATTATAGTTCCCTATCCCCACTCTGGTTACATGTTTCTTGATGCAGTGTGATATGTAGCATCTTATTGGTACAGTAGATGGATAGATAATGGCTCTGATGGGAACATGCAAATAAAATTTCTATTTTGTTTTAACATCCCTTAAGGACATGCAGGGTGGCAGATTGTGTTACTGATTGAAATGTTTATCTGCCATTCCTGTAAATTATCTTGCAACATCCATTCCTTCCTGATGGGAGGAGAATACTTCGTGACCACACTAACATTAAGCATGTTCCCGTGACTTGATTTGGCCAGTGGTTAGAATATGAGCAGACAGGACAGGAGCCATGTTCAACCAGAACCCCTGAGAGCATCGCATGGTTTACCCACCAGTGTTTTCTCCTTTCCATGAGATGCGGATGGACGTTACTTTTTCAGCCCAGACTATAGATTTGCAATGTGGGTGATACTGCCCTCAGTGGCGTATAATTGATTCTTGGGTGGGGGAATTGGCAAAAAAATGAGAGTAGAGATATACATAAAGTACATAAACATATTTTAAAAAGAGTAGAAATGGGTTGAGAAACACTGGAGTCAATCGTCAGCATGTAGAAGAAACATGCAGCAGAGCCACAGAATGAGTCAACCCACAGCTGACGTGCACTGTGACTAAGAAATAAACCCATGCTGTGTGATCCACTCAGGGTTTGAGGTTGTAACCGTGGTACAGCCTGATGATAGCTGACTGCCACAACTAGCAATCTGTTGGCTTTTGTGGCCTTAACAGCACTCTCCGGGATGTACATGGGCCCAGCTGTTGAGGTTTGGTTCAGAAGGCCTGGTGTGGAGTCTGGGAATATTTATTTTTGGAAAGCTTTCCTAGTAATTTTCCAGTGAATGTTTAGGTATGGGCCAGTGATGTTAATGAGGCCAAAGTTTTATGATTCGCTGGCAGAATCTAGCCATCTAGGTAAATTTGTCTCACATGTAACATTTGATGTTCTGAGCTACTTCAACATTATCATCTGACAGCTATCACAGACACTACATGACAAAAGTATCCTAAGCCAAGAGGTAATTTGCAAAACCCACCGGAAGCTTCTTTAGTATTTCTTCCTCCTGTATTTCCTCAAATCTATAGTTATTGTTCTTCTTAAACCAGCTTTGGAACTTGACTGCAGAATATTTGGTGATTTACTTCCATTCCAGCCTCAGCCCCCCAGCCTCTGGTTTCCATTCTGCCTATGGAAACCACGGTCTGGAAATGGAAGCCTGGCTCAGTGTTTGGTTCCCTACTTAGCACTTGCCCTCTTTTTCATTTCAAACTGGGATCCTGATTTGGTTTTGTTGCTTGTGGATCCAAGATCTTCCAGGTGCAACTCAGTCATCTGTGGCTGGTCTAAGCCTTTTTGGCAATCCTGATTTGTTTTCCTTCACCAGCGGCTGCTTCAGAGGGAGAACATAGGTCCAGTTCTCACCAATGTGATGTGAAGGGAAATCTGTTGAGGACTGCGGGAATATTTTTGTCTTCCTTTCTAAAACGGGCTTAGAAGAAGTTCCTTTTTTTCCCCATTCTCTTTCTGCCAGGGATGGCTGTAGATGAAGATGTAATGAGCAGAGCTGCAGAAGTTATCTGGTGACAATATATTATATGTTACTGACATTTTGAACAAAGCAGAAAAGACTGAAAGGATTTTGAGTCTTTGATGACACCCTTAAGCTGCTGCTCTAAACCTAGAATTTCCTAACTTCAATTTTTTTATATGTGAGAGATTTAAATGCTTTCACTATTAAAGCCAATGTTAATTAAGCATTCTGTACTTGCAAGCAAAAGCATCTCTAACTGACATAAACTTTCTTCTCAATAAAGACTTTTCCATCTACTCCTGTCCACATTTTCTTTCTTTCAAGTTCCTGATTGTCTCTATTACATATTTGGTACTTATGCCTTGCCAACTATTTCACATATATACATCTTGCCTCTCTAATGGTTTGTAAATGTTTTGTTAGCGGGAAACAGCCTGTTTTTTATTGTAAGTGTTCCACACAATGACTTTCTCAGGATGGAACAATTAAGATTGTGTTGAATACCTGAATGATGTTCATCCTACAAAGTTAATCATTTCAAGGCCAACTGTTAAAATCAGTACTTGCCCAAGTTGACAGCATCCGAAACCAGCTGAAAGCAGCCTTCTTGCTATTTTGAAGATCTACGAGTTAACAGGACCTGGACACTGAGATATACAGTGAAGTTTCTATGAAGGAAAGACTAATACCCTTTGGATAAGGTAGAGTTCACTTCATGTATTTGTACCTTTTAAACTTGACTTCATGTATTTGTACCTTTTCACCTCATAGTTGCATGTCTTTAATGACATCTTTGGTCTGTGAATATTTGAAACATTAACATAATTATCTATCTTAACATATTGTATTTACCACCTGCTGGGGATGAAACATTGAAACTATCACTAGTAGCTCATTAACAATAACACTAGTCCCTCATTAACAGTGTTGACCCAATTACGTGTTGTACATCCCAGAGACAAATAACTGTAATTGCAACTCAGAAGTGATTTCATAAACACAAAGATTCTTTTTTTGAAATGCAAATTGGAACGCATTATTTGAATTTTCCACATAAATACAGGTTTAAATGAAACAAAGTCATTCAACCAAATAAAATAAAAATTCAATCTAAAGAGAGGCCATTTGGAATCAATTGGTACAGAGCACATTCTGCTTTGAAGGATCAAAACACTGTCATTGCTGGGTGCAGAAATTAAACAAGTTCGCAACAATGAATGCCAGACATCTGGTAAGTGAGATCTACCCTGGCTATCAGCAGGTAGTGATTTTCTTTTGGACTCATTCAGAGTATTGTCTGTTGCCTGGACAATGGAAGTCTGATGAAGCATTAATATAATCTGCCTGCAGGTCTTAAATAAGCTTCATTGAAAAGATGGAAAACTGGAGAGATTTGTGTGGTAAAAAAATTAATTGTGCATATACACGCACACATACACACACACATAAATAACAATGCCTCCACCATCATGTAGAAAAGATCTGTATAAACAGAAGCAAATACAGCGTGATATATTTGCAGAGGTAGGGAATGTTCTTTTACCGAGACAATTACTATGATAAAAATTAGGCAAAGTTAGCCCAGGGAAACTGGGAAGAGACAGCTCTGAGAAAGAAAACCTGTGCTGAAGTCAAGATGTTAAAAGCAGAGACATTTCTTCAATATGAGCAGACTGCTCCACAGCCGTTTTTTCTGTTGAGGGAAAATTACTGCTGCAGGAATGGGGCCGAGGGATGGAGAAGGAAGAAAAACAGAGGGGAGAATGAAACTGAAATTTACTACCTAGAAAACCAGCTTCTAGGATTTCATGGGATGTCTCAGTTCAACAAACATTCGGGGCGGTGGTGGTGCCTGTTCTTATTCTCTTACTTAATGAGGCAATGTGTTGATAAAATGCTGTGTTTACCATTTAAAACATTAAAATAGCCAAGCACATACTGAGTGCCAGAAATCTCCCAGGCATTGTTATGATTGCTGGAGGAGGGATCCTAAGGATGAACACCCGTCTCTCTCATGCGTTAATATCAAATAGTGAAGATAGCCCTAATACATTTTATCACTGAGAAAAAAAGTTCTGTGCCCTCTCTTATGGGCTGAAAGAGCATGAGAAATACACTTCTGGCTGGGACACAAGCTGTATGATCAAGGGCAAAATACTCTGGCTGGGTCTCATTTTCCTTGTTTTTAAAGTCTGTTTCCTTCTCTACAGGCAGTTGTGAGAATCAAATAGTGCAAAGTTTATGAAAAGTGCTTTAAAGATGGCACCCACACAATGAAAAGTGTTGATGCCATCTATAGGAGAGCAGGTGAAGCGGGAATTGATTCTGGCAAAGGACACACTTTGGGAGTCCCATGAAACTGCAGCATGGCCAGAGTGCTTGACCACCCAGAATGTGCTGAGTTTAGGACTTAATCTGATCCTGTGGATCAATTGTAATTGACTTATGTCACACAAATTTTGCCATTTCTGCAGGAGCCTTTGATGGAAAGTCATTGGGACATTACGTGGTTTCTTAACGTGGACAACATTAAGGGACTTTTTTTTGCCCAATATTACTAAACTCTTGGTGATTGCATTTTAAATGAGCACCTTTCAGTCCTTCTTCCATATTGCTGAGGCATCTTCAATGCATTTGTAAAAAAGCATGTAACTTGACTCTCCTCATATCTTAGCCCCCTGCAGTTTTGAACATGTGTTTTTATTAGCTAATTTCAGTTTTAAAACAAACCTCAGGCACAGAAGGTAGAATAGGCAGGGTTTTTTTCCATTTCATTATAGAAGAAAAGAAGGCACAGACGTTTGCCAAGTGACTTAGTGCTTACTAGGGACAGAGCAAACAGAGAACTTGAGGTTTTACTTTCCATTATTATTATAACGCTGGTTTTTCTCAGCACAGATCTGGACATTCTGATGCTCAGAAGTAAGTGCAGGGTCAGTTGAAAGCATCATTTAACTAACTCTCTTCGTTATGCCATCACTAATATTGCATCATGCCGTCTTTTCCCACAGTGAGGTTTATTTTCGTTTTTGTTTCCCAGAGTTGAAAATTTAATTAGCTATCTTTTCTTTCTGTCCAATTAAGGTAAATGATAAAATAAGGTAAATCAAAGAAAATACTTATATTTAAGGTTCTCCAAAGTCATCCGAAAAGCGTAACAATGGCAAGCATTTATTTTCTGACTTTATGACTTTGGTTAATTTTTTTCTCTTTCTCCTCTTCCTTTCTCTCTCTCTTTCTCTTTCTCTCTCTCTCTCTCATGCACACACACACACACACACACACACACACACACACTCACACATCCCCCTCAATGGGCCATTTGTCTGTTGACTGTGAAGTGATGCCTGCCTTTGTGATTTGACTCTGAAAGTTTTTATCCCCAGCAATAAGAGATGACTGCTCCAAACTTGGATTTCTAATGGATCACAGATCTCTAGGTGTGGGATAAAGGGGACTTCATTTACAAAGATGAGTCTTAAATTCGGGGCTAGGATTCCTTTACTTTATTTCTTGCAGTCTATTCAAAATAATGTGGTGTAACAAGGGGCTCCTTACTACAGGAAAATCAAGTTTTACCTTTCCCGAATGTATTGGAACAGCAATTAAAAAGAAAATTTGGAAACAGGAGTAATATTATGGTAGTGTAAGAATTATTGCTTTTTCCCCAAAATCAGTATCAAGACTGAACCAGATGATGTTGTTTCAAACACAAAAAAAGTCCGACTTAACAATTTAGAACAAAAAAAAACGAGTTTTGCAGTATATACCAAAAGCAAAACACAAAACAAAACAAAACAAACCCCCACATATTTAAATTTAATAAGTAAAGTTCTCTTGGCAGAGTTTTAAGTATCTGCAGTAGAGGAAGCAGCTGGCTGCATTATAGCTCTGTAAATGAAGAAATATTAAGCCAAACAAAAATACCAAGATGAAACTTATAGTTTTATACCTGGCAATGCTGAGCATCAAGGCAGTGTGTGTGTGTGTCTATAAAGTTGGCTGTGTAAATAGTCTTTGTATCTGTTCACAGCTCTGTTATACGGCAATGTTTTCCAGAATATCTCATTTGGTATTTCCATTAACTGTGAGGAAAACCCAGCCAGTAAACTGGTATGCAAATGTAACAAAAAATGATAATGATTTTGATGATTAATAAAAGAAAAGGGAAGAGTATCTGTAAGATTCATTTACCTACCATCCCTAACTACATCCTTGGTAATAACATCCTAAGTTTTCAGTGAGTACCACTTTGTCCAACTCTGAATCTATGTCATTGAAATGTTGTTAACTAGGTAGCATCACCCAGGTTTAGTCAATGAGAACTTTTAGAGGGATTTAAAAAATAGAATTGTCAGATATATACTTCCTTTTTCGGATTTCCAGCACCAAGGACAAAGCAAGCTTTGTCTAGTGGCATCATAGGTACTATATAGACAGCCTGTGTGAGATAAAAGCCATCACACAGGGTAGGAAAAAAGAGAAGGAGGGAGTCAAGCTGAGCCCTGTGAGTGGCGCCTTTGCCTGCCTATAAAGGAGAATTTCTGATAATTGGAAAAACGTGTATTCTTTAGGTGAGTTCCCATTTGGCAAATAAACAGCACCTTCATGAAAAGGAGAATAGTCTTGCGCTTCTGGATGAATGCAGCTCATGATTTTGAGAGTAGAGTGTGGCTGGGTGCATATGTACAGTGCACACACTGAATAACCATATGTGGTTGCCCAATCTATTGCCATTTCTTGCATCCCTGGATCCAGCCATTTCTGCAGCTACTGTATCCTTGGACTTTGCCATTACGTGAGTCAATAATTTCCCTTTCTGCTCACAGAAGTTGAAAGTCACTTGCAATCAAATGAACCCTGTACTTAGTAAGTAGAAGCAGAATGTGCAAGTGTCAGATCTCAGAATGAAATTGGTTAAGATGGGGCATGGTTTGAATATTTGTCATCTATCTCAAGCTATAGCAGCGTAAATGGTTAAATTATGGTTTATCGACTCTCAGAACTCAGACAATCATTTCTATTAAAGCTTGAGTTTTAGTGTTTATGTAAAATTGGTCTGTGGTTTTAATTTTGTTTTGCTTTCTAAAATTTATGCTTCATTTTTAAGATGAATTGGGAAGAATTTCCACTGAAATGGAATTAGCTCACACTGAAATATATAATCAGACTTACTGAGACAACTGTCTGGGACTAATCTTTATTGAAATAATTTATTGGAAACCATTTCTTTCATAGTTCTTGCTCTACTCAGTTTCTCTACCTGTTATTTAGAAAAATATATCAGGAAAATTTACTTGAGAATTTTTTATCATTCCTGATGGTAAAAAATATTTGCAATTACTCTTCTTTCTTGACTAGTCATCTACAGATGTTTCTTTTTTATGTACATTTTTAAAAGCCAAAATTTTAAATGTGTAAAACTACTTATACTATTTATCTTTTAATATTTGATTGCTATTTGCTTTCATCATTATAGTTTCTTCATATTTTTCTTAGATATTTTGGTATTTTTTCCAGTCTCTCAAATTGATTTTATTCTCTCTTTTATAATAATGAAAGTATTTAAGGCTGTGGGGTTTTTTTCTGCTGAATGCAGCTTTTGCTGTATCATTTAAATTATGGTGCATTAGCAATATTGTTACTTTCTAAATAGTCTGCAACTGTAATTTAGATACTCCCTTTAAACCAGAAGTAATTTAGTAATATTCATTTGTTATGTGTGTGGGTATGTGCCTGTGCCTGTTTATTTCCAAGTCACTGAATTTGTGTTTGTTCATCTTTTATTGTATAATTTAATACATTATGCTGATGACAGATAAGAGTCCCAGTATATACAAAGCAGTTGGAGAAAAATCTGGTCACATAATCTTAGGGGATTTTACTGGCTTCAAGATGTTTTGAGAAGACATGAGTGCTAACTTATTCAAAAAAAGAAGCTTTCACTGGGTTTTATGAATCTATCCACCCAATATTTCTACTTTTTAAAATCCCCTCCTGATGTCCATCCTCAACTTCCATTTTATCTTTAAAACCTAAAATTCAGAATAAATTACTAGAGTTACTAAAGAATAAAGACCCAGAGGAGACCCCTGAGATTTACCTCTGGAAGACTTGGAATCAATTGGTACAGAGCACATTCTGCTTTGAAGGATCAAACACTTTGATCCTTCTTGATTGTCCGTGTTCTATAACACCACTGATTAGTTGGATTATTTCAATCATTTCAAATTTTCTTTACCTTCCAAATAATTAAATTCCATCTCATGCCTCCCTAAATCCACCACCAAAGCATAAAACTATACTAAGTTATGGGTACTTATATATTAAATAAAGAACGAGTTGGTTAAGATGATTTTATCTGGAAGTTGTCAACCTTAATAACAAACATAGAGAGGCACCCAAAAAAAAATAATGTTTATTTCAGAATAGGCATTGCAATGGGAATATGCATGGCCTAGCAAACTATGTGTGTACTCAGGGATATAAAAAAGGCAATGTTTTTAAGAGAAAATTAGGGAGAGTTTATATAATTGTTTTTGAGATAATTATCCTTGCCTACAAGAATCAATAACATGGGTAGTACAAATCCGAGGTTAGACAGGCAGTTGTTGAGCAGATGTCTTCAAAGAGGAATTTTTTTTTTTTTACTGGAAAGTTTCAATGGCCTTTGTGTAAGAGTTGGATTTTGCAGAGTCTTTTGAGATAGTTCTTGTTTTTAGGCACTTATTAATGAAAAACCTCCTTTCATGGCCTTCCATGGTTTTATCAGAGTATTTAAAACAAGCAACTCCATCTTGATTCTGACAACTTTCACAAAGTTTTTTAAAAATGTGGTTGAATAACAAAATTTATTATCTCCTAAGCCCAAAAATATGGCTGATCTAGGGGTTGCTTGTGGTCCAGAATCCCCAAGGACTCAGATTTTTCTTGTCTTCCTGGTGTACCTAATCCTAACAGGTCATTTACACCTGCCTTCCTGCACCGTGTTTGCAGGATTGTTGTAGCAGCTCCAGGTCTATCATTACTCAAGGAACAGCAAATCCACTTTTCAAAGAAAAATTTTCCTAGAATATCTTTAGAAGATTTCCCCTTAAGTCTCTTTGTCTGGAATTGTGTGATATGTCCTTTCCTGAAGCAGTCACTCTCAAAGAGCACAGGAAGCATTTTTTATCTTAGTGTAATGAGGATTTCTTTCCTTAAATAGGGTAGAAGAGCCTGGTGCTTCTCTGAACACCTGGCTAGTTGATGCCCTCGTAAAATCGAGGGCGTGTTTTCTAGGAACGAGGAGGCTTTTGTTTAAACAGCCAGTAGTGTCAGTCATGGAAAACATTGATTTGCTATCAAGACGTCTCAAATGAGCAATGGATAAGAGATAGAATTTCAAAGAGGGGGTCTCTCAGAGAATGAAGATTTCTTGATATGGTAAAGAAAAAGAGGGTGATAAAATAGATTTTAAAATTCTCTACTATTCAGTAAAATTTACTTTATTTCTACTTGTATATTAGGACTATATATTAACAACCAAAATTATAGTTGAGTTTTGATTTGGCCCAATTTGAACATGTTTGTGTTTAGTGGGAATTGAACAAAGTTTGAGTTATTGTGATCACTGATACCTTTTTTTTTTTACCTCTTTTAAAATTTTATTTTTGTTCCACATTTGGAACAAGTTTTTTGTATTTTTCTAGATTGCTATGTTTTTGCTTTTATGTTTGCCTTTATGTTTTACAAAAGAGCTTCTTATTTATCCAAATTTTAAAATCAAAAGGGAAATGCTAACATATGAGAAGTTTAACACAATTTTATTTTATCTGCCTCTACCAGATATATTAGTCTTTGGGGAGACTGTTTTTGATCAAAATTGTTTTTATAACATTGTATTCTTTTTAAAAATATAACAGCTTTATTGAAACATAATTCACATAGCTCACCCTTTTAAAGTGAAGAAAGTTGTGCATGGATTACTGCCATCTAATTACAGAACATTTCTTATCAACCCCAAAAGAAAGCTCATACCAATGGAGTCACTCCCTGTACTCCCCCCTCCCCAGCCCCTGATAAGCACTAATCTACTTTCTATATATATATAGATAAATTTATATATATATATAAAATCTATATAGATAAATTTATATATATATAAAATCTATATATATAAATTTGCCTATTCTGGACATTTCATGTAAATGGAATCACATCATATGTGTTCTTTTGTGACTTCTTTTAGTTAGCAGAATGTTATGAAGGTTCATCTATATCAGAATACCATTCTTTATGGCGCAATACTATTCCATTGTATAAATATGCAAATGTTGTTTATCTCTTCTTTAGTTGATGGACGTTTGAGTTGTCTCCACTTTTTGGCTCTTATGAATAATGCTGCTATGAGCATTTCTGTAGAACTTTTTGTATAGACATGTGTTCATTTCTCTTACGCATAAACCTAGGAGTGAAATACCTGGATCATATGGTAATTTTATGTTTATCATTTTAAGTAAATGTTAAACTGGTTTCCAAAGAAGCCACATCATTTTATATTCCCACCAACAATGGGTGAGGGCTCCAATTTCTCTACAGTCTCACCAAAACTTGTTATTATTTCCTTTTGATTCTAGCCATTCTAGTGGACATAGGCATCTCATTGGGGTTTTGGTTAGTATTTCTCTAACAGCTAATGATGTTAAGTATCTTTTCGTGTGATAATTGGCCATTGGTATATCTTCTTTAAAGAAATGTCTACTCAAATCCTTTGCCCATTTTAACTGGATTGTTTTCTTATTCAATTTTAAATTTCTTAATATAATATTTATATTATAAAGAATATATTAATATATAGGCAGTTATCAGGCATATAATTTGCCAATATTTTCTCCCATTCTGTGGGTTGTCTTTTCACTTTCTTGATAATGTTCTTTCCAGTCAAAATTTTTAATTTTGATTAAGTTCAATTTATATATATTTTTTCTTGGATTGCTTGTGCATTTGGTGTCATAGCTAATAAATCATTGTCTATTTTAAGGTTGTGAAGATATACTTAGGTTTTTGTCTAAGATTTTTATAATTTTATTTCTTACATTTAGGCAGTGGTATATATGAGTCTGAAGTGGCTTCGGTAGTCTAGATATAAATATTTTACGTAATTCACCTGTTTTCAGTATAGTACTCCTACCCTTATCTGCCCAACTTTCTTTAGTCTGAAAATTGCCTGATTGCCTGATTTTACTATCTTTAGAGAATAAACCTTTCCTCTTCTGCAAGTATTGGAGAAAGAAAGACATCGGTTGCATGGAATAGGGGACGGGGATTGGGCACTAACAACTTCTTAAACAAACTTCTAGTTAATGCTCTTCTTTGTAGTTTTACCTCCACCTCTACTTCAGAGGCACTAGGTGCCACTGATACTTAAGATTGTCAGTGTTAGTTAATTTCTGTGGTGTAAATTGGGCCATTTCTGTGCTACCCTTAAAACTTCTTTGGGATTCAGCACTCTAGCCTAGGTAAATTGCTTCTTGTCTATTTACAGCTCAGTTTTACAATTTTTTTCTGCTGCTTTATTCTTTTTGCCTATTTTCTGTTTGGTCTTTAGTGTCAATAACATCTGTCCCATAGTTTCAGTTTCTATGCAGAAGGGAGCAAACGTAAATGCCTATTTTCACTCTGCCATTTTTATCCAGAAGCCTGAAGAAGCATTTTTTTTGTTTTTTCAATCAAGTGATCTCTTTTATAAAGGAAATTGGAGCTGCACTGTATAGGTTTTTCCTACTCTAGTTCTATCTGATCAGTACTTAGTGTCAGTTCGTCTTACATTCTGCCTTTATGTTTTCTGACAGGTTTGGTTTCCAGAGTTGTGAATCTTTTTAAAACTTGTCTTCATGGATAGCTCAGTGATAGGTTGAGATAACAATAGGCTGTGTTGCAGTTTTATAGTCAGAGAACATTTGAACTAGAAATCATTTTTGTTTAGAAAATTGTGTGACATAATTGGGTACAAAAGTAAAATTGGGGATGCTAGCCTCAGATATTATATTCCTTAAGGGAAAAGGGATTTTACTACATTTTTTCTTTAAATGTCCCGGCACCTGAGCCCTATTGCAGTACATCCAGATTGTCAAGTCACAGGTGTTCAATGTGTTCTTAGCCACAGTTTTCTGAGAGCTTCTCTTACAGCAGAACTCCACAAAAGAGGCCTGAAGACACTGTATCATGCTCGCTCCCTAAGGTTATTATTCAATTTCATGATTCTGCAATACTATCTGTAAGATAATGGGTTCAAAATTTACAACTCTATTTCTAACCTCTTCTTTAAGTTTGGATTAATTTATCCAGCTACCACTTGGGTGCCTATTAGGCATCTAAAAAGGGAAGTCTTAATTTCATCTTCCTACCTGTTTCTTCCCAAGTATTTTCTATCTTGGTAAATAACTCTACCATTTACCCCATTACTCAGGCCCAAATCCTAAGAGTAATTTTTGTAGGGTAACCAGCTACCTTGGTTTGACTGGGAGGTTTACCAAGATATAAGCTTTTCAATGCTAAAACCAGAAATGTCTTAGACAAACTGGGGTGTCTTGAATATTCTAAATTATTGATTCCTCCTTTCTCTCCCTCACATCCCTCACACAAGATATTAAATAAATGAATAAATGAATGATGATTCCCTGACAAGATGGTATCCTATAGAATCATAGTAGCAGGCTGAATTAAACTAGTGGTAAACCACAATCTGATATGTTTCGTTTGTAATCATAAAGCCAAAAGTAGAGATGTTAGAATAACTGGAGCCTCATGTTGAGAAACAGCAATCAACTCTTCTATCAGGAAGAGAGTTGTGAATTTGAAATCACTTGTATTCTTCAAAATTACTTCAAATGTTGTTCCATGAATCAGTTTTCAATTCAATAGAGTGCTGTCTGCCTGCAAGAGTTTCTCTAGTATGCTCTGTGTGTGTTATTAGAGCTGAAATTGAGAGGGTTATCTTGTCTTTATGTGGTTAAGCAATAGCAATAATGCCAACAAACACAGTCTATTTTTTTAGGTAAAATCTTTTGTTTTCTAGTGATGGAATTTCAACTCTGTTTAAAGTCAAAAGTGAATTATTAGTGAAAATTTATTTATTAAATAGTAATTAACTTCTGGGTGACAGGCTCCCTTTAGACATTAAGGGTAAAACAATGAATACAAATATCTTGTCTGCTGGGAGAATCAATTTGATTCACAACAAATGTATAAGTAGAGAAACATTATGAGGAAAAAGTCAAGATAATAGGGAGCGAAGAGGTAAATTAAATAATATAAAAGTAGGTGAAAGACAGTGAAGGGAGTTGCTGTTTTAGATAATGTCTAAAAAGCTCTGCAGAAGTAATAATTGAGCAGAAACCCGAATGAAGTGAGGGAATGGAGGGAGTGAGCTACGCAAAGGTCTCAGGAAGGAACATTCTGAGCCATGGGAAGAATGAGAGCAAGTCCTGCTTGGAGAATAGCATGTTGTTCAAACCGAGTTGGGAAGAATGAGCATGAAGCCAGGTAGACAATGGGAGTCAAATCACTTCAGGCTTTTAGGCTATAGAAAGGACTTTGGATATATTTTATATAGGATAAGAAGCCAATAGGGAAGTCTGACCTCTCTGGTGGCTGTGAGGAGAATCGACAATATGAAGATGAAGTGGAAGAAGGATACCCTGGTAGAAAGCTCGACCGTTTATCCAGATGAGAGATGATGCTGGCTTGGACTAGGATGGCAGAAGTGAAGAGAGATGGTCAGAGTCTACTTCTGACCAAATGTGATCCAAAAGAATACAGTAATAAATTAGGTGTAGGTTAAGAGAGCGAGAAGAGTCAAATATGGCTACCGATTTTTGGCCTGAGCATCTTGGAATAGATGCAGTTGCCATCTTTCTCATAGAAGGAGACCAGGGTGGGGTAGAGATGTGTATCTGGGGCAGGAGGAGAATTTAATGTGGGGTGTGCTAAGTTGAGGATTTCTAACAGATGTGCAAGTGACAATGTTGAGTATAGGGAGATTGTGGAACAAATCTGGAGTTCCAGGGAAACACTGGGGCCAGAGACATAATTTGGGAGATGTCAGTGAGTAGATGGTACTTATGGCCGTGAGGTCGAGTGAGATAACCAAGAAAGGGAAAATACGGATGAAATGTGAGAATTGAGATTGCAGGGGGGTGGGGGGCATTAATGAGATGGTATATGTAAGGCACTCAGAGCAAGCATTATTTAGTGAGTGTTAACAGCACATTATTTTAAGGGTTTGTTAAAGCATAAGTCAAAAAGTACAACATTAGAAGACCTGGCAATGGAGACTGAGATGAGGCTGTTGCAAGGTAGAAAAAGAGAAAACCAGGAGAGTGTCACATGATCAATGCCAAAAGAAAAAACAGTGATCAACTTTTGTTAAAAGCTGCTGAGAGGTTAAGTAAGGTGAGGCAAAAATAAATAAATAAATAAATAAAAAAAATAAAAGCAACATATTTTAGGACAATTAAATTTGATAGGCAAGAAGAAGAAAATGGAGGCATTGTGCTTCAGGTTGAAGAAAAGAGCAGTCTATTTACCATGTGTTTTGGGCTATGAGATTGTAGGGTGGGGTTGAGAGATTTAAGCAGGAAGGATGGGTTTCTTCTCCCTGGAAGGCTGTGCCTTGGAAGTGGTGCTGGCAACTAACATGGGTTCCTGGAAGAGCCACACCTTAAAGACAGTTGCCTTGGGAGTCTGAGCAAGGGACTCTCTATGAAGTGGAGCCATTTGCAAAGCTGCTCAGCACCAAGTAGACGACAGAGGCTTTGGCAGCAAGCTGGGCAAATGAGATTCTGCTCTAAATCCAACAACAGAACTGGACAGATGGTAAAACAGGAGGCCAGTGGTGCATCTTGGGGCTGCAATAGCAATAGTTGCCACTGCAATTGCAGGCTTAGAGGCCTCTTTTGAGGAAGTGAGTTAACATTGGGGACTCCTAGATAATATCAGGCAGGCTGGTTGCTGAGTAGGATTTAATTTGATTTTAAAGACATGTACATTATTGACACCAGAAGTGCATGGTGGTGCAATTTGCATGGACATCTCTGCTTCTGTAATTGTGTCCACTTGTGAGAGATCTGACATTGCTCTCTATGTCTGGGTATGAATGATGTCGTTACTCTTGTTTATGTTGGGGTGACCTCAGTTTCAGGGGATGCTTTCTCTTTGAGATGAGTAAGAATGATCAAGGGTGAGCATGCAATTGGCAGGTTTCTGTTATAGATGTGCATTATGTAGATTGACCTCTAATGATTCGATTTCCTGCCAACACAACCTTTCTACAGCATTGTGAAAATAATGTTTGCAAGCTGTCCCTTATAATCTACTTTCCCTGGCACTGGGTAAGTTTCATGTCCACTGAACTTGCCAGTTCCCCATGAAACCACTGGCGGCATCTCCTTTACCAGGGGCAAGTGTATATCAAAGGATTGTATAACTATTTTACCTTGAATAGACCCAGGATTTAAGAATGAAGTTCCCCTAAAGTATGGCAGCATAGAATTTCTGATCCTCAAATTGTTGAATGGCAGCTAAACATTTGACAACATCACAATAGTCATTTGGCTAAGCATTTCAAATGCAGGTATACAACATCATGTTCAATAACTACATTTTAAGCTTTTGGTTAATTTATACTATATATGTATAATGTGTATGCATGTATGTACTATTAATGTAATTACTTTATATTCATTGTAGGTGTTCTGGTGCCTGCTTTTAATCTTGGTACCTAAAAGAAAAAAGCGTTTTAACAACAGCAAGTTCTTAATGGCCGCTTTGGTCACAGTTGTTGATTACCAACCTGTCATGCTGAGGTGCTTGGTGGCTGCTAGGATAGGATGGCAGATGAAGGACTGGAGAGACACATGGCTGGGCCTAAAATATAGCCCCAAACCAGTGGCTGAGCTGCAGCTGCCCTTGAACAATGTGAGGCATCTGGAAGGACAGTGAGGGGTATATCTAGACCAGATCAAATCAGTAGGTGTACATCTGTCTGGCAAGGGCACATTGTGGGCAAATGAAGAATTAGAATAATCCATAGGAACACAGCCTAGAGCTTCAAAGGTCTTTGATTGGTCAGCTGGGGTTCAAAGGTTACAGGGCAACACAGATAACTGAGGAAGCAGGGCCTGGAATCCAGGCAAAGAAACCAGACACTTGTTCAGAGAAACAGCAGCAGACAAGGTCTTCTTCCTGAACCAGGTAGTCTCAACTAGGGGAACTAGTTAAGACAGTCTTCCTGTGCATCCACCAGGTGGAGATTCATTTGTTTGTTTGTCGAATTGATGTTTGATTCAACACGTGATGCAGAAGACAATGACTTGGCTCTCACAAAGCTTATGGTGTACTGGGTAAGACCTACATGAAATTTATACTTGATATCAAGTGATGAGGGTACATTAAGAGCAAAGCCCAGACTAGAAAGAGAAGTGAGAGAGAGAAAATGAAAGGCCATTACTACTCTGTAGTTTGGGCCATTGAGGAACTGAAAGCCCTATCTGGGGTGCAATGGTGGCCTCTTCTCCCTGCCCCTGTAGTCCTTGAACACTCCTAGTGGAGATCACCTCAACCCTGTAGGCTCAGTTCCACCTGAGTCCTGCCTGCAGATGGCTGAAGTTTAAGGATCCAGGAACTTGTTGGGCCCAGCCTTGGCCCTCACCCTGCTGTGCTGGTGACCTGGCAGTTCTATGGGGACAAGGCCCCAGCCTATATGCCTTTTGTGGCAGTCTTTCCCTTTTCCTAGTTCTTTAGTAACCAGGTCATACCTTATTCCCAGCAAAGGGTTTCCTGCTTTGAATGTCCATTCCTCAGAGATAGAATTCCCTGGCCTGACGTTCAACTCTAGAAACCAGTTGCCAGCACCTGCTGCTGCTGCTGCTGCTGTTGCTGCTGTTGCTGCTGCTGCTGCTGCTGCTGCTGTTGCTGCTGCCTCCTAACACAAGCCTGCCTGAAATTTGGGCCTGAAATTGGGTGTTTCATCTCTCATTCCTTCGCAGCTCAGGTGGACACCCTCCCTTATTAACTTGGAGGAGTCATTCTACAGACCTTTCTCTTTTTTTACTTCTTTCTTTCAGATGGATTTCTCAGCCTTAGAATATATGTTTTCCTTGTATCTCAAATTTTAACCTGTGGCATAAAGTCCACTTGATGCCAGTCTTTAACCAGAGTGACATGTTTCCTCATGTGTGCTCTTTTCTAGTCAGGACTATCTGCTGCTTCCCTGGGCTGTAGTTCTGGGAGCAATGCTTACTCAAATCATTCAGGAAAGAAATGCAAATGTAGGAATAGATTTTTGGCTTGTCATGTTCAGTTGTAGAATTCCTCAGGGCAGGACACTGTCCTTTCCCTTTGGACAGGATGACTAGCATTTGTTTATTTTGTTTCATTTCAAGCAGCTCCAGGGGCAATAAGCTTTAAAAAATGTTCTGTAACAGCAAAGACTTCTGAAATAAAGGGATTACTCTATTTCCCTGGCCAAATGTGATTTTTGATATAATTCTCATGTTTTAGCTTTTCTAGTTTAAAAACCTGCATACTGGGAAAATAAGGAAAAAATTCTAGAGGTTGTATGAGAAGGATGAAGACTCTATGCTCATTTCCATATATGAATTTTTTCCTTTGACTGTAGTCCTAAAACTGTAATGTTTTACTTTAGAAGGAGATTCATTGGTTGCCTCATCATCCATTTTGAAGACCATTACTACTACCATAAATAAATACCCAGTACTTGTTTGGAGAGAATAGATTTGCTTAGACAGTGTATCTGAATATTAAGGATAATAAACAGGTACTTGTCTAGAGAGTAATCTATCTTTTCTAACTGCTAGATTTTGAAATTATATTTAGTATTAAGGAGAAATTACTGCAGTGTTTAATGAAATATATTTGAAATCAAATCAGGACTTTCAAATATTAAAAGTAACCAATGTCCTTCAAGGACATAATCTGTATTCCATCTTTGTATTCTTAGCTCCTAGCACACTGTATGCAGGTCTCAACAAGTGTTGAGATGAACTGACTACTGCTTATTTTATGTTGTATTATCTTATGTTATTTACAGTAATAGTACGTGATACATACGGTTACATGTATAAATCTTATCTCCTTAATTGAGTCTCACTTTCCTCAAATAAGGGTCCTGGACCAGATAAATATTTTCAAGGTTGTTTCCAGATAATAACCTGTCATTCTACAACCTTCAGTTTTGACCTTTGCATCCATCTTTGGTTAATAAATTCCAATTGCCTATGGGATATAGCCATTCTGTAAGTTTCTCAGTTTCCCTCTGTCTTGGCCTCCTAACCATGGTTTCCTACCCATCAATAGTCTGATAAGCCTATTCAAAGCACTCACGTTATTTGTAAAGTTGCTTTTAAAATATCATATATATTATCTCTAAATATCTCATTAAGTATTATGGAAGAACAAGGACATTCTCCTAAATGACCACATTACCATGATCAAAATCAGGAGAATCGAATATTGACCCTATCATCATTCCAGGATCCAGTACAGGATCCAGTCCAAGATAACACAGTATGTTTAGTTTTGTGTCTCTTTAGTTTCCTTTAGTCTGAAACAGTTTATTAGCCTTTCTTACTTTTTTCTTGACCTTGGTACTTTTGATATATATGGGTCAATTATTTTGTGAAATAACCCTCAATTTGGGTTTGTCTGTTTGCTCATGGTTGAATTCAGGTATGTATTTTGGGCAGGGAATACAACAGACATGATCATTATATAGGTCTCAGTGCACCATGTTGAGAGGCACTTGAAGTTGGTTTGTCCTATTACTAATGCCATTAAATGTGATCTCTTGGCTAAGGCAGTATCTGTCCAGTTTCTTCACTATAGAATTGCTGTTTTCCTCTTTGTGATTAAATAAATAATTTGGGAGAAGATAATCTACTAAGCAAGTAGCAGAGGGTAAAATGCTAACTGCTAATGGGAAAATATTCATTCTTCTTGCTATGGTTAAGAATGGCTGATTTTAATCCAAAGAAGATAATCATGAACTAAAGTCATTCTTTTATCGCTGAATACTTGGGTAATACATTAGAGAACATTGCTGATGATTTGAAGAGACAAATACTGAAATTTAAAGTAGGGGAGCCTTAGTATATAGTTAAAAGAAAGTGCTTTTTTTAAAAAACAAATTTCAGTGTTTATGATAATGGCTAGATTGAATTTAAATATTGAAATAGATCAAAGACTAATTTGCGATTTCAAATAGGAAAGATATACTGGAGAATACATTCTCAACAGCAAGTGACTTAAGAAGTTAAACAGAATTTTACCAAAAAGTCAAGTGTAATCACTTATGGAACAGCTGCTTTGATTGGAGTAAACATAGGATTTTAAGTTCTAGGTTAGGTTTACTAAAGACTCCACATATGAAAGTTATTAACTACCGAATTTATAGGTAAAATATTTCAGTCAACAAGTTGAAGCTTGAGGTGCATGAAATTGTAGCATGTCATCAATATTTAATTTTAGATATCAAGTCCTTTAAAATACAGGTGTTTATAATATTACGTAATGAGCTGTGTGGTTATCACAAAGATGTTTTGTACCACACAGTGATTCATGGGTTACCTTATGGCAAAATACTTAGACTTACCCCACTTATAAATACTATGCATGTATTTATATATTTAGAAAGACATGTGCTCTAGATTGGCTGACATTTTCTGTGGTGACAAGTGGTTGCTTCAGTGGTATTGAATAGTGTGCTACCAAGTATATAAATATAAATTTAAAACCCTTCTCTCAAGTAAGGTAATCTTTTCTTTAAACAGTAAGAAAGTAGTAACCAATGAAATAAAACCCAAAGCACACAAAGCAAAAAAAGCAAAGGTACCAACACCACCTACCATGGATTAGAGAGTTGAAAATGGCTGTTTCAAAATGTTGTTATTGTTTTGTGATTTTCCCCCCATAAATTATGCCATAATTAAACATCATATATTAAATGTAAAAAAAATTCTAGTAGCATGTTCTCAGGTTTCTTGAACACATGGATCCAAATAAACAAAAATGTAGAATTTTCCAACAGTTGTGCATTAGAGCTTCTCATCAGCCAGTTGTAAGAGCAATTGATTGACATCAGAAGGAATAGAACTCTATTAACCGAATAGTTGGTAGACAGCATTGGTGGTGTGGGGGGCAGTGGATATTATGATTGCTAAATACAGCCAATGATGCATTTCCCCTGTTTGTGCTTATGTAATTTTGAGGTATCATTTTCAGCTATAGAGCTATTGAAACAGGTATTGGAATAAACTGAATTTAGACCCCGACTTTTAAGTCACTGTATTACAGAGTATTTAACTGAGATCTTAAAAACATAGTGGAACATTCAAACATATTGCTTTCTCTCTCCAGTAAAATGGTTTGACTCTTTATAATAGAAATTGTGTATTTCACAAGAACCTACCCTTTCAACTTATTTTTTAGTGTTTTCTAAGTAAATGTATTAAAGCAGTTATATGTGTACATGACTTAAACATTTGTACTGATATGGGTTCACTTTCAGGTTGGAGGCCAGATGTGTAGAGCAGGGAGAATCAGCCTAGGTGTGGTTGTCAGGGGACACTTCACAGGGTGATGTGACCGTCTAGAAAGGAGTAAGATTTGGAAGACAGCCTCTGACCATTAGGGTAAAAGTGATTACAAATAGATCTGGTTTCCTAGAGTAGATGGGGGAAATCAATTCATAAATTTTTCATGCTCATCTCTGTCCTGAGACATTGGAGCATGGAAAGCCCTGCCCTTAAGAAACCAGAGTTCCTGGACAGAAGAATGTCCTACTTGTGAGGAAGAAAGAATTCAGCAATTATTCGTTGAATAGCTTCCATGAGCTTTTATTTACTGGCAAAATACTGGGATGGATACAAAGCAGCCAGGGTATGTAAGAAGATAAGATTAAAACAAGTGGCAGATGAGGTCAGAGGGAAAAGCAGATTTTTTTTTTTTTTTTTTTTTTTTTTTTACTAGAAATCTTGTGGCATCACCACCCTTACTCCCTGCCACTTTTATCCTTCACCATCCAAAGCTTTCTACCTTGTTATTCTGGCCTGGAATGCCCCTGGGACATCTGGTTCCTTCTCATCCTTAAGTCTTAGTTCCAATGGTTTCCTCTCCAGATAGGTCTCTAATCACCGCTGTCAAAGGCAATCATTCCACTGACATCCATTTTCTATCTTAGGTGGTTCCCTCTATAGCAATTGTTATTGTTGATTATTGCATATTAATTGGTTTGCCTGTTTGTTCTCTTTCTCCTTCCCCTACCCTCAACTAGAAGGTAAGATTAGAGCTTTTACTTTTTCTCTTTCACCACTTTATACCTAGGAATACCTAGCACATAGTACAGGGCTTGACATAAAAGCAATTATTTAGTCGACAAACAAAAGTAGTAAGAATCACAACTGAGTCTTGGAGGATGGTAGAATCTGGATTAATGATGAAAGTGAGGGATTTGAGAATGGAGAAACAACTTCAACAAAAATGTGGAGGTAGAGTAGTGTAAAATATGTTTGGAAGATGGAAAAGACCAATTAAGTTGAGTAGAAGGCTTGGGAAATGCAATGGCTGGGCAAAACATTAAATAGGAAATTCCAGCCAGGGCGTGGGAGGTTTTGTATGCTAGCCTACACATATCACAAGGCAATTTGGACTTTATCCTGTATGTGGTCAACAGGGAGTCACTAAACTTTGATGGAAATTGTAAATTAGAAAACTTCAATTGGTATATCCCTTGGCACTGGCTAACTGAACACAATACAACCCCCTGTTGGTTAAGGGTTCTGGAGAAATGTCTGTCCAGACAATGCTGGAAAGAGCATTGACCAAATTCATGTTGTAGTGGGGAAGAAGTAAGCCTACTTCCGGGTAGAACTCTATTTTCAGTGAGTACTAAAATCCCCCTGGATAAAGAGGAGATGGGTTGTATACTTTTAAATCCAGGAATAAATTTGAATAAAACCCTTATTTATTTTATTCAAAATGTAGCCTGCTTCAGAAGACTTTGCAAGAAGGCTTGGACTCCAGACTACTAAATTATAGACTAACCATTAATCTCTTTAAAAATCTAGGCTCTAAACCGGGTGCAGTGGCATGTGCCTGCAGTCCCAGCTACTCAGGAGGCTGAGGTAGGAGGATTGCTTGAGCCCAGGAGTTCAAGTCCAGTTTGGGCTACATAGCAAAATTCCATCTCTATTTAAAAAAATCAGGCTCTGCCACTTATTTGGGATAACCAGTAAGCTGGAGTAACTTAGCTTCAACTTTTAAGACTGTAGACTGGAGAGAAGAATGCCCTACTTTTGAGGAAGTGAGAAAAAATCCCAGCACTGGCACATTCTTACACAACACATTTCATTCCTAATGTTTAGCTGTATCCCACCCCAATGTCAGTTAAATAAGGGATAAAAATGTTCCTATTTGGCGCTTATGCAGCCTATCTAGGAAACCTATTGCACAATTTACCTGCAATATGATAGTACTCGTAATACAAATCTTTCAGTGTGACTTTTCCTGTCATTTGCACATCTCTGAACCTGTCAAAAGCCAGGAATGTTTTCTTAGGACCAAGATATCTAGTTATCAAAGTGTTTATATGCAATTTTAAGCTGGACTTCCCTGTTTTTCTTCCTGTAACTTCCTGGTCCCAAACAGCATTTTCTAAATTATCTGTTGTGAAAAATGGATAATAGAGTCATCTGTAATTTTTTTCTTTACTGTATGTTTTAAGATCTTAAATTGAGACAGGGCAGTGTGACTCTAGGTGGTTTGCTTTCTGGGCCTATTCCTGGAGACAAGTGGTGGGTGGTTCTAAATGTGTCACTTGGACATTTTGGACCTTAGATTCCTTACCTGTCAACTGGAGGCCTTGGATTGGATGACTTCTAGGATGGCTTTCCCTTGTGAGATTGTACAATTTTTGGAGAAACCTGTATGTGTATCCTTCTAAGTTCTTTGAAAATTTCTGCAAAAAGAAGCTTCTATATGGTGTGGGAGGTAAAACCAGATGATCTCTAAGGTCCTTTCAATTCCCAAATTCTGCAATTAAGTGGGTTCCATAGATTCTCACAGATAATAGCTACTTAAAGACATTGACATCATCCACTTATCCATGTTAGTAAAACTATTCATTTCAAAGCTTATAAATATTTCAGAAAACATGCCGGAATTCCATCTCTCCATCCCTGCTTAGATCATCCTTAGGTAATGGTCCCTTTAAGGTCTCCACGACCTCTGTGCAAAGAAAGTTATCTGGGGGTGGTGAATACTGTCCTGCAAGCTCAAAGGTACACAATCTTCATTCAAATCTCTTGTGGCTTTGGCTTCATGTCCTTGGATAAAGTGACTTAACCCCCTGAACTTTCATATCCTTATTTATGTGACCAAGTATAACATAAAATAGGAAATGTTATTTACCTGCTAAATTGTAGAAAGACACACCTGGACTGGGGACAGTGAGTACACACTGAACACTAGTGTTTTCCCCACATAGGTAATAGCACCCAACAGATAATATTTGCCCCACAAGTTATATGCAGATTGGAAAAAGTGGAATCATGTTCCAAGCATCACAGAAGTACTGACTGTAGCTAGTCTGGCATGTGAGCATTTGTTGTCATTTTCCTTGCCCTTCAATATTTGTCCTGTTTTACCCTTTAGTTTCCACTAAAAAGCAGCTGCCTTCACTAGAAAGTAAGTGAGCTCCTTGAGGGCATTTGTATACATTTATTTTTGTACCACCATTCCATTGCCTCCGTCAGTGTTGGTGGCAGGTAGGAGCATCTCAATATGTATATACTTGTTGAATTTAACTGTAATGATAAGTGTGTAAGTGACAAAAAGAGCTATTATTTAAAGAGCATTTACAATATACCAGTTATAGTGGTAAGTATTGTAACATACTATACTTCACTCAATGCCTTGAGGTGGGTAATACTGTTGTCCATATCTTAAAAATGAGGAAACTGGGGCAGAGAGAAATTCAATGCTTTTCTAAAGTTCAAAGATGTTGAGTATGAATTGAACTGGGTCATTTAGTAGAGCCCTGTCCTCTTAGCTACCGCAGTATTACTACTTCCAGGCAATGTGGTCCAAGCCTGATCTGAATCCAGTAATAAATAGCAAAAACATATTACCTTGACATGCACAGCTGATATTGGTAACTGTTCACAAGTTTGTTTCCCAGTAAACTTGCATGTGGTTTCAAAATCAGACTTAATGCAGAATCAGGGCCTTAACTCCATATCTGTTGGAGTGTCTACATCCATTAGAGCCATTTGTCAACCATAGCCTGGATGTAAGTTGAGATGTACTTGACGCAACTCCTCACACTATAGCCACGACTCCTCTCCTAAGGACCATAGGTAGGTATCCGAGGGCCTGTTGGATGTCTCCACTGGGATATGCAATAGACTTAAATATGAAATTATTTGTTCTCTTCTGTGCTATGCCTAAAATTCTTCTTTTTAAGGTCTCTGTTTAAGTTCATGAAAACATCATCTATCCAGTTGCTTGGAAAAAAAGTTATGCTCCTTTCCTCTCCTTCAACCCCTGATAGCCACTCAATCACTGTGTCCTGTCCACTTGACCTTCTAAAATGCTCTTGAATTGGACCCCTTCTCCCTACTCCTTTATCTACTGTTTGTTAGCCTCCTAATGGATCTCTTGCCTGCAGCATCTTCTCCATCTAATCCTTTCTCCCTACTCTGTTTTGGATCATTCCAGTCTGTGATTAATACTCAGCAAGCCCCCATCACGCACAGGATCAAGTCCAGATGTTCCCTGTGCTTCTCACTGCCTTTCACTACTTTGCTCAAACCTAATTCTGTACCCTCATCTGCAGCCACTATATTCACTTTTTATGCCAGCTATGGCAGGGGATGTACAGATCTGGAATACAGTTGACCTTTGAACAATGTGGAGATTAGGGATATCAACCCCTTGCACAGTTGAAAACCCATGTATAACTTTTGACTCCCCCAAAACTTAACTACTAATAGTCAGCTGTTGACCAGAAGCCTTACTGATAGCTTAACCAGTTGATTAACACATACTTTGCATGTTGTATGCATTATACACTGTATCCTTACAATAAAGTGAGGTAGAGAAAAGAAAGTTTAAGAAATTCGTAAGGAAGAGAAAATTTATTCATTAAGAGGAAGTGGATCACTATAAAGTCCTTCATCCTTGTTGTCGTCGCGCTGAGTAGGCTGAGGAGAAGGAGAAGTTGGTCTTGCTGTCCCAGAGGGGGCAGAGGAGGTAGATAGAGAGGCAGGCACACTTGGTGTAAACTTCATTGAAAAAAAATGCACATATAAGTGGACCCAGACAGTTCAAACCTGTTTAAGCATCAATTATACTTCACACATTTTCCAAACATTTCTCAGGTCATGGCTTCTGCCCCAACTATTCTTTTAATTATTTCTGTTCCTAGTAAATTGCTACTTATCTTTTAAGACTCAACGCAAAAGGTTGCTTTCGTAAGTTGCTCTTGGACCACTTTTGTTTATGAATTCCATTTTGCAATCCCAGTTTAATTTTTATGAATCTATTCATTCAAAAAATATTTTTAATACTTCATATATGTCAAGCACTATGTTAGTCTGATCAGAGAGATGACTGTTAATCATATCACATAAATAAGTGGAAGATTGCACCTGCCATGAGGCAAAGGTTAAAGAGGACACAGCACATGCTCAGCCTCCGAAGGCTGCGTAAGAGCTGGTAAGGTGAGGAGCGATGGGTGGCACTGCAGAGCTGGAGTGTGTAAAGCCCTGTGGCAGGGGCAGGGCCCCTCAGGGAATTGCATGATGAAGCGGGGGTGGGGGTGGGAGGGTGCTTCTTGGCCTGTGCTGAGGCTGGAGGAGTCAGCAGGGGCTGGACTGTGCAGCTCTCTGTAAGCCAGGTAGAGAAAGTTGACATTAATCTGAAGAACAATGGAACATATTCGGAGGGGGTTAAACAGGGGGATGACACAATCAGTTTCACGCTTTGGAAAGGTCACTCTGGCTCCCATCCATAGGGTGGACTGGAGGGGTGCAGGAGGACACAGACATGGTAGTTAGAAGCCATTTAGTCATCTGGGCAGTGATGTGGGTTAAAGAGATGGTGTTGATGACGATGGCAGCTGCTCTACAGAAGTCAACAGATCTAAAATAGTATAAAGTGGTCACATCAACTAGCATAGTGATAGACTAGATTTGGGGTTGAGGGTTTGATGACAATTAGGTTTCTGGTTTGTGTCATTAGGTAGGTGAGCTAGAGAACCCTGAAAGAGGACTTGCTTTTGACTTGTGGTTGTGTGTACAGATTTTATTTTGTTTTAAAGGTGATGATGACGTGCAAAGAGGAAGAATCTCATTAGTTTATCTCCTGCATTCATTAGAGTTATTTATATGTGTATTTTCCCTATTACCTTATGAGCTGTTTAAGTCCAGGAAACACTTTCTATTTTTACATATCACCCCAGAGCTTAGCTCATAGGTTTGTTTGATAGTATGGCTTTCCTTAAATTAAAAAACAGAAACAAGCCTTTTAAATAAAATTAAGCACAGCAATATAAAAACGCTTTCAATGTCAATAAGACACAGTACAAATTCCTACAAATATATGTAGAGGAATTATTAGTATTTTTGCTAATTTAGAATATGAAACTCTTTAAAAAATACCCAGAATCCCTCTTTGAGATTCAGAACTAATTCCTAGAGTTAGATTTTCTCAACTGCTTTCCCTTACCTGCTAATTTCAGCTCTTGACCTTCAGTTCCTCTGAGCATGAAGATGTCCAAAGACTGAATTTTCTAGTTCTGTAACTTCTGAAGTTCTCATTTCCAGAGATCATGAAGAACCCCTTCATTGCAGAGTCTATTGGCTATTTCAGTCTTTTTCCACCAGCTATGAATAAACTAAAGACTGCACCTCTTTCTAACATCCCTCTCTGAGTTTTCCTTTTCATCCTTTCATGGGGAAGAAAGGAGGAAGAAGCTCTGGTGACAGGTAGATAGCATAAACCCCTGTGCATGACTTTTTCTAAATTGAATCTTTTCATGAAGATATTTTCACCTTCTCCCACTAGAAATTGCTTTAGATTCCTCCGTCCGATAGCTTCTCTTCCTAACATGTATATCTTTTCAAAAGATATTACATAAACACAACTGGTAATCCATTCTAATCTTTATCATCCATTTACTAGTGCAACCCGGCAGGGGAAGGACAGTCTTAGGGAGCCCTTTCTTCTGGGCATGTGTTCATTCAAAGCACCTGTCAATATTGATGGGGAGAGAGGTTCTTTCAGAAGAATGGAACCAATTTTGAAAATCGTTGAGGGTAATCAGAGGGATGGTGTGGAGGTTAGAAATGGCTTTTTATGCCTGAAGGAGATGAGAAAATCTCCCAAGAGCTGTCAGGTGATGGATAATTTGAAATCCCTTGAAATTATTTATTGGAAACAGCTACTAAAAACTCAGCCACAGTTTTCAGCTTGACAAGATGGGGTTGTTTCATATTTTAAACATTCAAAGGAAACCGCAGGAAAGCTGTCATTAAGAGATCAGTGAATCAAGCCAATGAGTGAGATAATTGTTCACTAAAGAAGAGGAAGTTGAATTTTTAATGTCTCATCAGTGATAGAGGGATGAGGAGGGGATGTGTTGTTGGCTCACCCCTGAGTGAGCTGCTTGGTCAAAGCAGGACTTGAGATAGAAAGCGGAAGAAAAGTATCTTTGGGAACCCACAAAAATTAATCCTGGATCACTCTTTTGGTGGTGGTGCCAGATAAAGCTGTGAGAATCTGTTGGTGTTTATTTTCCTGTTCCAATCAAAATGAAGAGCTATTTAGGAAGAGATTCCCTTAAAGTGGCTGCCTTGGAGAGACAACCAGTGTTGAAGACCAGTAATTGAGGGAGTTATGGTCGTTTGAGTGGAACTGGAGGCAATTCCGAGTGGCGAAATAATAGAACAAAGCACCAGCAGCAAACACCACCATGGAGAAGTAATAATGGAAGACTGGAGAGCTGCTTATCCAATGCTACTCAGCCCTCTAAGAAAACCTTCCGTCCCTGTATCTGCTAAGACTTTTATGGCAGTGGAGTAGCATTAGGGTTTGAGGCAGCTTTTAAAGTAACAACCCTATTTTTCCCTATTTGCATTCAGAACCGCTGTAGAAGAGAACAGGAGTCTCTTCTAAAGAGATACAGATTTCAGGCTTTAATCCAGGTTAATCTCTTTGGAGAATGTGCTTTATTCAAATGATAGAGGTTTGCTTATATTGTGTTCCAGAAGGAAACCTACTTGGCCTGAGGAGGAGTTGGAAGACTGCAGACCTGGCTTCCAGAGGCTGAGCCTTTAATGCTAAGCATACTTCAGGCCAGAGTAGACCAAAGCCGCCCAAAGAAGGCAGATTTCAAAAAGATGGCAGAGGTCTGACTGAGCTCTGTCCATTCCTGCTCAACAATCAGTGTAGTCATGGCATGAAGGGGGCACTGAGAGGCCAGAAGCATTCCTCTGAGGGAGGTCACTACAGGCGGAAATGTGTAGTGGGGGCAGGGGATTGAGTCCCACCCCCCAAAGTAGTTCAGGCTATAAGGTCATACTACACGATGTGTTATCTAGTAAAATCGTATGCTCTCCGGCTTTAGTCCATGAGTTTTAGAGCACCCATCACACAGTGCTAAGAAAATCATTGCGGATTGATTTCATATGTACTTTTAGTGAGAGAAATCCTTGAGGGCAGAAACATTTATAATGCAACTTTAGTTGCCAGTGAACTACATCACAGTGTGGGGTATAAGGTGGCCTTCCAGTGAACACATAGTGGGGCAGTCAGGGGCTCAGGTGCTGCAGGTGAGCAGTTTCATATTGCCAGTTCCATTTGCATTTAGAATTTGGACGTTGTTGCCAGACGAGCAAAGGGATTATGTAAGTACCTTTCTCCTGCTTTCTACCTGAAGTCAACAAATTTTCCTAAGTGTCTCAAGGGCTTCTGGGAGAAAAGATATTGGAGTTGATAGCTCATCTGGAACTTCAAAATTAAACATTTGGGGCAGCAACATGCTGGAAACAGTGGTCTTTGAGAGAAACTGAAGGCAAGGGGAAGTCTAGACTGTGTCCCGGTTTCAGTAGCAGAACTTTGGTTATGGACAGAGAGCACTAGTGACAAGCATATCATATAGTCAAGGCCCAAAGTCTAGTTTGGGGTGTGCCTTAAGTAAAATGTCTGTGTGCAAGTTGTGCTGGTCAAGAATACTAATTCTTGTGATGCCAGCACATTTGGTCCCTGACTGAGCAGTGATGATAGAAAGTCACCCTCATGCTTTGAAGAGCCATGAGCCCTAAGTAAATCAGTGGAGACCTTCAGGCCTGGGTGCCAGTGAGTGGGTAAGTCAGGAACACATCTCCGCGGCTGCCAGGGCACCAGCAGGTGACCCAATGAGAGGAAACAACTCTGGGCTGAGCCTCTCGCCTCTTAGAGACAGTGTGAAGCAGTAGCTAAAATGGCAGGATCTGAAGCCAAGATGCTTGGATTAATTTCCACCTCCTCTTTGACTTGTCCTCTGTGGCATGGATGTGGTCTCTCTTTGCAGTTTTGGCATTCGTGAAAGATGATGATACCTATTTCATGGGCTGTGTTGGGAGAATTACACGAGTTGCTATATAAAGTCTTAGCACATTTCTTGATATGTGGGCAGCACTATAGGAGTGTTAGGTATTGTTGTAACTGTATCCATATTAGCACTTGTGAGGGTATAACTTAAACTCTTCCCATGAAGTAATGTGTTTCCTATCACTAAAGGTTGCACCAAAGGCTGAGATGCATTTATTTGGGGAAGTTCTTACATGTTAGATAAGGGTTTATGTTCGATGATCTTGCCTGTACATCTTGTTAGCACCTGTAGCATGTGTTCATTATTGCTGCATAGTGTAAAGGTCCCTATGTCCACCGTGGATGAGCTTTTATCCCATTAACTGCTGATTGCTACCCTTGACACTCAAAGGACTGGACATCATGGTCTAACCTTCACCTACTTACATTATAGACTAGAGGGTAAGGATGGGGAAGTGCTTGAGGAGAAGGAAGAAGTTTCCAACCGTGCCAGCTTCTCCAGATTGCTAGTAGATTCAGGGTAGGTTAGGGCTCTAAGGAAGCTGGTGGCAGGTTAAGAGTAACATATTAGGGGGATACAAAAGATCTGAGTGTCTAGAGGGTCAGCGTTGGGAGATCCACCTGTTTTCTAGATGTGGTGGGGGTGAGGCATTATGCTCGTGGACTCATGGCAAAGACTGAGTTTAGAATTGCCTGGGAATGCAGGAAACTTCTGTTTGGCATTTCCCCCATACCCTGCTGCCTGTGTTCCACTTTGTTCCACAAAATTCCCAAGGATTATTGGACAACCATTCATGAATGACCTCCTTTGAATAGCCACAGAAGGTTTTACCAGTGGTTCCTCTCTTCTTTTTAACAATTATATATATATATGTGTGTATATATATATATATATATGTGTGTGTGTGTGTGTGTGTGTGTGTATATATATATACATATATATGTGTGTGTATATATATACACATATATATAGTTAAATATATATATATATATATATATATATATTTAACTTTTGCCGTTGTATTTTTCATATATTCAATTGCCATTTGTATAGTAAAGAATGTAACCTTATCCGAGGGAGGTTTACCGAGCTTGTCCAACCCACCTTATTTTTCTTGTTGTTCTGTTTTGTTTTGTTTTAGGCTTTTGGCAGCCTAAAGCCATGGTTTTTAGTTTCTGTCTCTAGTGATAAGCAGAAAAGAGGGATGAGGAAGGGGCTTCACTGGCCCAATCAGAAACAGAAGCTAAGAACCCATGACTGTATTCTCTCCCTTGGACACCCCTGGCCTTTTTCCAATGGCTTTTCGGAAGTAATCTCTAAATCCTTGAAATGTTTTTATTTGCTCAAGAGCCTTGAGCCACACTAGGTAATCTAACAATGTGATTTAGGGTGAGGGCTTTGGATCATGTGGTATCAACGTGACTTTTTTTCTCATAGGGACTAGAAACAGATCTGGCAGGTGGATATGCAATCATTCCTATGTGATGAAGCTCCAGTAAAATCTCTGGACACCAGCACAGGTAAGCTGCTGTGATTGGTAACACTCCACATATATTGTCACATATAAATTTTGGGAAATGTAGTGCTGTCCATGATTCCATTGGCAGATGACATTTGGGAGCTTTGTGCTTGAAAGTTTCCTGGACTTTGCCTCATGTGTCTTTTCCCTTGACTGACATATCTGTATTTTCAGTGTAAGAAACCATAACTCTAAGTGTTAACAGCTTTCAGTAAGTTCTATGAATCCTTCTAGCAAATTATTGAACACCAGTGTGGCTTTGGGGGCCCCTAAACTCGCTATTTGTATTAGAAGTGAAGATGGTCTTGTGAATGCCTCCCTCTAGCTTTGCACCATCAAGATTTTGGCCAAAGAATATTTCATTTTTATTTAGAGGTACATATGCTTCTACTGCAGTCACCTTATAATCTCTTAGTGTAAAAAAATAATTCCAACTTTGAAGAAGCAGGGCAGGCCCTCCTTGCTTACACCTTCTAGAATGTGCCCAGAGGTTATATTCTATCCCGTTCAGTTTTATGAAAAACATATACACACTTAGGTTGAAGGTCTTTTTAATTTTACCAAATGAATTATAGCAAAGTCCTCACCTCCAAAGAACTTTCAGTTATATTTAGGATAGAAGGTGAATACCACCTGAGATTAATAAATTCTAGCCATTCTGGGGAGTTAGAGAAGAAGAGAAAGGAGATTACAATACATTCAAAGGTTCAGCATTAGAAACATTGTATCTGAGTCTTGAAAGTATAGGAATTATTACCATTTTACACATTGAAGTAGAAATTATATGCATTTATAAAATCATCATTCTCAGTAAACTATCGCAAGAACAGAAAACCAAACACCGCATATTCTCACTCATAGGTGGGAATTGAACAATGAGAACACATGGACACAGGAAGGGGAACATCACACTCTGGGGACTGTTGTGGGGTGGGGGGAGGTGGGAGGGATAGCATTGGGAGATATACCTAATGCTAGATGACGAGTTAGTGGGTGCAGCGCACCAGCATGGCACATGTATACATATGTAACTAACCTGCACATTGTGCACATGTACCCTAAAACTTAAAGTATAATAATAATAATAAAAAATCATAGACTAGGAAAACCAGAAGGAAATCTAGGAGTCATCCAACTCAGTGGTTTCCAGAGGTTTTCTGTAGACATGAGTCAGGTTTTCCCTGAAGGGTTCGTGGAAGAATGGAAGCTTCCAAATGGAAGTATCATTGAGAAGAGTTCATGTTGCTCCTCCTGGCTTCATTAGGAGGCCTCTAGTTTTTTTTAAGGGTCTATTTTATAAAAGACTTCATTTTTAGAAACAATTTCACTGTTCAACCACCCCAACCAGATATACAGATCTAGCAATCCCTTTATCTTACAGACTTGGTAAGTAACATGGGACCAGTGAAGAGTTTTGGAAGGGGAGTGATGTTTTCAGGGCTGTACCTTTAGGGGATCTATCAGTGCTACACATAATCAGTTACTAGGGGCGGTGGGGGGCAGCACATTTGACAGCCACTGAGGACTGAGTTAGGGCAGTGAATGGAGAGATGGGGATAAATGTGAAAGACATCATAGAAGTAAGAAGGACTTGTTGGCTGTAGCAGCCAGAGAATGGAGAACAAAGATCTCTCTGAGGTATTTGGATGCCTTTATATACGGACATGGGTAAAACAAGAGTCTGCTCTTCAAGGGAAATGACGTGGTTAGTTCTATACAGGTAGAGAGTAAGGTGCTAAAAATACCAGTAGGTAAATAGAATTGTGGAATCAAAGAGTTATATACTTAAGTGTACTCCAGACTCCATTAGGAAGACAAATGTAGTTAACGAAATGAGAGAAGTTCTACCCAGGAGTCAGGCACTTTAAATTACCTCAATAAATGCCTGAAAGAAGTCTTTTAAATGCATTTGAGTTGTATTACACATGAAAGATGACTTATTGACACAGATACATTAAAAATATCATGTTGCTTTAATAGAAATGTTAATACTTTTGGCTTTTTCTTAACTGGGAGATATTAGCCTTAAAATATTGTTTTGATCCCAATTCCCTGATCAGAACCTTTAGTGGCCATTTTCAGAGCTGCCCAAATTAGAGAAGCCTCTTTTCCTAGATCAGATTTCATTGCAATTATTTCAACTGCAAATGTTTATAAGAAACCAAGAAACCAGGAAACCAAGCACAAAGACTGGTCAAAAGTGTTCCAGGTTCCCCTACTTTAGATAAAATGTAAAAGGTAACAATATCAAAATACCATTCACAATTCTCCTGATTTCCCTCTGGGAGTATAATTCTTCAGTTCTTAGAGGGGTCCTAAGTCCATTTCTCCAGACCTCAGCTCCCCATTTCACTCTCCCTCCTCTCCAGCCAAGAAGGTTCATTTGCTCCTGGAATGAGAGGCTGTGCTAAGAGAGATGATTTCCCATAGCCTCTGTATGAATACCAGGCAACTACATACACTAGAAGGGGTTGTTGAATTCCCTGAAACAAAAGAAAATTTACTACAACCTGTACCCAAGGTAAAAACAAAAACAAAAGCACACAACAACAAAAACCTATTCATACCTTTTTTGGGGGGTGGGATGGGGGGAAGAGGGTGAAAATCCCAAATCTCCAAAACACATAACAAAAAGATCCTTCACGTATCAAAAAGCCTTTGCCTGTGCTGTTCATCCTTCCCCAGGGTAGATATGCTGGTATCGTACAAGAAAAGGAATGGCGACCTCCTACTACCTTGTTTAAATTCTATCTGATCTTACTAAGTTATCCAGTAACTTTAAAATAAATCTGAGACTCTTTAGTTTGTAAGAGCCAAATAATATATTTTAAATTTTTAGCCATTGTGTTTCCCCATCACAATCCCCTATTAGCTCACTCCAACCTCTGGGACCTTTTTGTGGCTTTAGGGAAAAAGAGTCTGAAAAAGGAACAAAGGCATTGATGCTCAGCCTCAGCATGTCATAGCAGGTTCCTTAAATGTGCTACAAAGAGAACAGATGTGAAGGGCAAGGTTTCTGAACTGCAAGAGCCAGACTTCTGAGCATCAAAAGCTAGACTTGGAGAGTCTCAGAGCATAATGTTTTATCATTAAGAAATACATGAAGTGTGAATTGCCAACCTGCCTTAATCCAGTTTTAAATACAAATGTAAAAGCATACATGTTAAGATTAAGAGGCATTATAAGATCTGAGAACAGGAGTCATCAGAGGGCAAGGCCTTATAAAGACATTTCTGGAGATTAGCTCGGCACTGAAGAACCTGGTAGGACTCCCAGCAGCAGAGGCTCATGGACTTTTTTTCTTACATCTTTTTGTCTTCGTTGGTATAGAGGCTGTACAAAACAATTAAACGGGAAAAATGAGCAAGTCACACTTAGTAATCAAAAAACACTCATCAGGAGCTCTCATATAATATTACATAATACCTCATTTAATTAGAAGGAATAGCCATAGCACATGGTCTTTGTTATAGTGGATGTGTGGCCACTCAATAAGGCCTATATTTCCAATATATGTGTATATTTTCAACATATATATAAAATTATCTGGGTGTGGTGGCACATACCTGTAGTCCCACCTACTCTGGAGGCTGAAGTGGAAGGATCTCTTGAGCCTGGGAGGTTGAGGTTGCAGTGAGCTATGATTATACCAATGCACTCTAGCCTGGGCAACAGAGTGAGACCTTGTCTGTAAAAAATATATGTGTGTATATCCATATAAAATGCAGATTCTGACTTAGTAGATCTGCATAACGGGGTCTGAGATACTGCATTTCTAACAGTCCTCCAGAAGATGCTGAGGCTGCTGGTCTACAGACCATATTTTGAGTAATAAGGTTCTAGAAGGCTCAATTTCCAAGCCATGTAATTGCAATCTTTAAGAATATTTTGATTCTTTGCCTATGGTGCCTGATTTTACTAAACTCTTCTCTCCTGGGCCTCCAAAATACCCAATACATATGAGAATATAGTCAGAGACCCTGGGTCTCTTAAGGGTCAAGAGAGGCCCAGCATTTTCAGCTTTGAGATTTAGTGTATTATAAATGAGGAAATGCTAAAGAAGTTTATCTTAAACTGGTAGGTTTAGAATATTAACATTCACCACAATGAAACTTTTATCACTTAAAAGAATACAGCACAATAAAATTGTTCCACTTACACAGTGTTTCAATTTATATAATTTCATATTCTACTCTAAGTGGTTTGATTGTGAAATTAAAAATATAAAACATATCTCTTTAAACCCTGTAAACATATATCTGAAATCAACAACTTTATTTGGAAAGAGCTTCAAAAGTCTATGTTAGAATTGTTTATGACTCTGAGGCTGGCACCATATGAATTTTGCATTGGTACCATTGATGGGCTCTGCTCTTTCAACTTTGAGATTTCATGAGTAGCACTACCTTCATCTGCCTCCAGTCACTTAGGAATATATTTGATAACAAATAACAATGCCAGTAGTCTCACTGTTTTTTATAAAGGAACAGATTTCTGGAGGTTCTTACTCCATCATTCAAGAAGTCTGATTTTCTGACAATGTGGCCTTTAATGGAAGGCTCTTCTCATCATCAACCTATTAGTAGACACACAACAAAGTTATGGCAAATGGTACTAAAAAAGTAGTTTGCTGGGATGTCCTGAAAAAGAGTTCCCACCATAAAGAAAAAAAACAGGAAAATGTTTCCCCCATGCCACTACACAACTCCTGATATTGAAAACAGCTTTTCATGAGTACAATGCTTACAACTATTATAATCCTCTTGTAACTCTCTATGATCAACAGAGACCTCATCCAGTCTCCTGACTTCTCTGCAAATCTGACATTGGAAATGACCTAATTCCAGCAGAAGTTCTTGTGGTAGCATTCATAGATGTCAATAGCTAGGCCTTATTAGAAAAGGGATTGAGGGAGATGTGAGATTTCCCTTCTTGTAAATGCTGTCCAGGTTTCCCCCGAAAGAGGCAAAACGAACGCTACCAAATGGTAGACTTTCCTTGGTCTAGATTGAGATAAATTTTAGAGGTCACTATGAGACAGGACACTGTGGCATAGTATCAAACACTAGAATGATCAGAAACAAGAACTAGAACCTATCCTTGTTCTACCATTGATAGATTTCTATATCTTAGGTAAATCCTTTTTTTTTCTCTGAGATTTTCATCTTTCCTTGTAAACTTAGGAGCTTGGAATAGTCACTCTCTAGGTTACCTTTAACTCCAAGAGTCAGTTGTCTCATCCTAGTCTGCTTGGTTCTGTGTCAATTAAAGCATCAAACAAAATGTAACTCAGATTTTAAGACACAACTACCTAGAATTATTGAAATATTTGTTTATTTGTTGTTTATTGATGAATCCTTCCATCCATATATTCATTTTTAATGTATGAGAGCCCTCAGGGAAGATGGTTATTTTTTATTAGGATAATTTCACTGTGATTCTTCAGTTAGGTAGTGCTGTTGTAACTGAACGCAGGTTTAGATGCTCACTACTTGCAAAGTCAAATAACAAGGATGAGATTCAGTAGGAAGAAAGAGACTTTATTTTCCAAAGCTAGCAAGGGGTAAATGGTTCAGATTCCTGCCTTAATGGAGCAACTTCAAATTTTGGGCAGAAATCAAGGGTTTAAAAGGGGAAGTTTGGCATGAGGGGTATGCAGAGGGCAGGGGCGGTGAGGCAGTGCAGGTCTACACGACTTGTTCTGATGACTAATCGTGAGTTATTGCCTATCTGGTGAATGGGCTGGTGCCACTGCAGGCACAAGCAGGTTGTAAGTTAACTGCAGCCTTGAAGTAATCTAGTGGGGAAGAATTTCATAGGCACCTGGATCATTTCAAGATTCAGTCTCTGAAACTTCTAAGCAAACATGTAGTTAGAAAAGCTAGCAGCTCAAGGGGTAACTGGTGGAAAAAGAGCAGAGGTTATAATCACATTCCTAAGGTACTAAGTAAGGAGTCAGCACACATGAAAAACAAGAAAAGGAGAAAGGGATTTGTTTGTTTGTTTGTTAGTTTGTTTTGAGACAGAGTCTTGCTCTGTCACCCAGGGTAGAGTACAGTGGCATGATCTCGCTCACTGCAACCTCTGCCTCCCAGGTTCAAGTGATTCTCTTGCCTCAGCCTCCTGAGTAGCTGGGACTACAGGCACATACCACCACACCCAGCTAATTTTTGTATTTTTAGTAGAGATGGGGTTTTGCCATGTTGGGCAGGCTGGTCTCGAACTCCTGACTTCCGGTGATCTGCCTGCCTCAACCTCCCAAAGTGCTGGGATTACAAGTGTAAGCCACCATGCCCAGCCGGGAAAAGCTGTTTTTAAGAAGACAGGGTACTTGGTTATACTATTCCAACCTGGATATCCTTGTACTTGGCTTTCAGAGTAATTAAACATTCCATTTACCCTTGATATGTTAAATATCTGAAAATGATATAATTCTTTGTAAGTAGATGGTATAGAATTGAATAGGAACAATTATTAGAGAAATGCAGTGAAAATGTAGGGAACCACTGGATGAGGAATGATAGTAAAAGAGAATGGTAATCTCAGCAATTTTTGAGTATCATCATTTCGTCCACTGGAGATAATATGTTTTAAAAGGATGTAAGCATTTGCATTATTCTCTATTTTCACAGATGTTACTATTAATATTGCTCTGTGTGTGTGTGTGTGTATGTGTATGAGAGAGCGATCCCTTGAGTAAGTACAACCACATTAGGGCTCTTCAGTTGTTAGGCAGTTCTTCCATTCAGATATAATGTAGATTTTGGAGAAGCTTGTTTAGGATTTTGCCTGTTAGTCATAACTCCCTACATAAGGAGAAATAGGGTAAACTGTTCATTTTAATGATTTTTAGCTCTCTGTTCTAGGACATATTCAGCAGTTCTTCAAATTAGCTGTCATAATAAAATATATTTTACTTTGGGGACAATTAGCACCATCTTGTCAAGACAGATTTATCTTTGCAACTCACCTGCATGGATGTTCAGGGATCACAAAACAACAGGATGAGCCATATTTTGTAGAGCCGTTGAATTAGTCCGTTCTCACGCTGCTGATAAAGACATGCCTGAGACTGGGTAAATTATAAAGGAAAGAGGTTTAATTAACTCACAGTTCAGTATGGCTGGGGAGGCCTCAGGAAACTTACAATCATGGCAGAGGGGGAAGCAAACACGTCTTTCTGCACATGGTGACAGTAAGGAGAAGTGCTGAGCAAAAGGGCGAAAAGTCCCTTATAAAACTATCAGACCTTGTGAGAACTCACTCGCTATCACAAGAACAGCAGCACTGGGTTAACCAGCCCCATGATTCAATTACTTCCCACTGAGTCCCTCCCATGACACATGGGGATTATTGGAACTACAATTCAAGACGAGATTTGGGTGGGGACACAGCCAAACTATATCAGCTATGTTCTGAAATCTTGCTGGATGTCGCCCTGCTTCTTCCAACCTTGGTGCTGGCTAGCCAGAGAGTGTGGTGGCCCTGTATGAGTGACTTTCTTTGACAAGTGCTGTTTATTGTCATTCTGGATACGAGACTATGTCTTAACATGTTGTGTGGGAGCTGAAAGACAGACTGTGCATGGACATTGATTGGTGAGAGCTCTTCTTGGGTGTTTGGACAGCCTCAGGATTTAGGGCCTGAACCCTTGGCAAAATGAATAATAGCCTTGCAATATAATAAGATCAGAATCTCTCTGTATGCCCCATGTTTTCTCATCTTTTACTAATGAGGAAGGTACATGCCAAGCTTTTGACAGGGAAAAGCTAGAGGAAAATAAAGGGAAAAACAAATGCCCAACACTAATAATTCCCCTGTGTCAGTCAAGGCTGTTTAATGCTGTTGTTTACATAAATTTCATTTCCTGAAGTCAGTGGTTTTAATTTAACTTATTGAAATGCCCCATTGGCCCCAGGGTATGCCATAGTAAAAGGGGTGTCATAAATCTGGAGTTTGCAGTGAGAATGGCTTTTGTGCACAGCCTTCTGCCTCTCATGTTTCAATCTCAGTGTGGGCAGGGAAGAAAGTTCAGATCTTCAGCAAAAATGAAAACTCCCAATGCCTTTGTTGTTGTTGTTATTGTTGGAGGTGAGAAGGTCAACTTACGGAAGACCTATTTTCATATACCAGATATTTGTGCTGTCTACATTTTGTTCTCCCTTTATTTAAAACCCAAAACAGATCATCTGAAGCACACTGTCCAGCTGTTAGATAGAAAATATTTATATCTTGATATAATTTCTTATGGCATTTTAAACTTCATCATTTTAACAGTACCTTTAAATATTTATTGGCAAAGAGGCAGTGTTTTCTTTAACTTCCTCTTGGAGAATCTGGGAACTCTTAAGCCATTATTTATGACCTTCATTTGAATATGATCTCCTTCAAGAGTGTGGCACTTTAAAACTGAAATTTGGCTGTTTCTGCAGGGATATGGTAAAATATATAGCTAGAAAAGTATTGAGTTATTTTAAAGGAAAAAAGATTGCTTAATGAGTATTATAGATGATGTTTAGGGATTATGATTCATAGGAGGCTTGATCTTTTCCTCACCCTTTAACTGCCTTCAAAATTTCTCCTTCAGTTCTGATTAAATATGATGGATCAAACACGAGCATTTATCTCCTTGTCCTCTGAGAATCTAACTAAAATAGTTAAGGGATTAAAAAAACAGATTGAAACCTTGAAGGACAAAGAACATGAGCAAAGACAAAAGCATAAAAAATATTGGAAACAGGAGCTTCTGGACATGGGGCAAGTGATTTAGCAGACCTTAGAAAGGGGGCTGTAAGCAAGCAGGGGGAGAAGCTGAGATTTTGATTTGTATTGCAGGCCCCTTTAAGGCACAGAAATTGGTACCATCAGGTACATTTGAAAGTGAGGATATTCTCATTGTTCAATTCCCACCTATGACTGAGAACATATGGACACAGGAAGGGGAACATCACACACTGGGGCATGTTGTGGGGTGGGGGGATGGGGGAGGGATAGCATTAGGAGATATACCTAATGTTAAATGAAGAGTTACTGGGTGCAGCACACCAACATGGCACATGTATACATATGTAACAAACCTGCACGTTGTGCACATGTACCCTAAAACTTAAAGTATAATAATAATAAAAAAAAGAAAGTGAAGGTAATGGTGGGGTTGAAAACAGGATAGGCTGAAAGTCTGATGTTTAGTAGTTCAGATCTCATGTCCTACATACTACTCTTTTTTTTTTTTTTTTTTTTTTTTTTTGAGACAGAGTCTTGCTCTGTCGCCCAGACTGGAGTGCAGTGGCGCGATCTCGGCTCACTGCAAGCTCTGCCTCCCAGGTTCACGCCATTCTCCTGCCTCAGCCTCCCGAGTAGCTGGGACTACAGGTACCCGCCACCACGCCTGGCTAATTTTTTATATTTTTAGTAGAGACGGGATTTCCCCGTGTTCGCCACGATGGTCTGGATCTCCTGACCTCGTGATCCGCCTGCCTCGGCCTCCCAAAGTGCTGGGATTACAGGCGTAAGCCACCATCCCCAGTCCACATATCACTCTTTCCACCTGAAAGACTTCCTTCCTCAACCCCAAATAAAAGGAGCAGAGGTTTATTTTCAGGAGAAAGAATAGCCTGTGTTGGGAACATATCACAGCTGAGGTTATGGTTACCTTACTGATAACACAGGATGATGTAGAATGTTGTTAGGAACGTTGAAATTCCCAAATTTCTTCCCTCACTGGGCTCTAGGAATAGTTGCAGCTATTCTAATTCCCTTCAAGCAGAGATTGAAATATTCTCCTTGGTTATCTGACTAACATGATATTCTCCTTGGTTATCTGACTAACATGATATTCTCCTAGGTTATCTGACTAACATGATATTCTCCTTGGTTATCTGACTAACATGATATTCTCCTAGGTTATCTGACTAACGTGATATTCTCCTTGGTTATCTGACTAACACGATATTCTCCTTGGTTATCTAACACACAAAAAAAATAATTACTGAAGGAGCTGATTACTACTCAGCTTCTGAATGATCCACTCTCTTATACGAACAGATAGCCAAGGATCTTCAGTCATGTTTTTAGCAAAACCAGCATCACATATGGCAGATTAACACACAACAATCAAATACACAGAGAAACAACTTCACTAGCATTCTCAAAAAGATAGCATCCAGTTTGGAGATCACAGATATTGTATATTCTATTTAAAAGGTATTTTTAGAGAAAATAGGATTAAAAGAAATTGTTTTAGAGATGGGGTCTTGCTCTCTTACCCAGGCTGGAGTAGAGTGGCATGTTCATAGCACACTGCAGCCTCAAATTCCTGGACTCAAGTGATCCTTCTGTTTTGGCCTCCCAAAGGGCTGGGATTACAGGCATAAGTCACCCTGCCTGGCTGAAAATAGGTTTCAAAAATAGAGTAGCAGAAATTTATAAAAATCAGTAGGAGGGTAAGAAGACAAAGCTGAGAATAACTTAGAAAGTAAACAATATTAATAGGTATTAACACTAACACAGGTAATTATAAGAAGTAAGGAAACTGTCAAAGTATAGGAGCATTCTAATAGGTTCACTATCTAAGGAGTAATATTCAGAAAAGGAAAAGAGAAAAACTGACGGGAGAAAATGATACACAATGTAGAAAAAATTTCTAGAGTTGAGGAACATGAGTTTCCTTACTGAAATGGCCTACCACATGAACAGCAATTTTTTTTGAAAATGGACACCCAGCAATTCACAGTGTGGTATAATTTCAGGACATGAGAGAATATGCTAAGATCCTAAAATTTTCAAGAGATTAAAAAGCAACTACAAATATAACAATAGCTTAACAAAGACAATTTTATACAAAGAGTCAAAATGAGAGTAAAACTAAACTTTCTCACTGCAAAAAATGGAGGCCAGAACACAAGGCGGAAATGCTTCCAAATGGTGGAGGGACAGTGACTTGAACCTAACCTTCTATAGCCCCAAACCATCAAAAAGTGAGATGGTATGAACAACATTTCAAACACAGAAATTCTTTAAAAACAAAATCAAAAATCCAAACTGTTCATCATTCTCCCTCGATTAGGAAGCTACCAGTAGGATCACTACCTACGATATTCATGGTAAACACAAAATAAATATACTATAAAATAGAACTTAAAAGTCATGCTGAATGAAACTCAACCTCTTGTTAATTCTAAGTCAATAAATTTAGGTTTTATTTCCTCAGCTACAACTAAAGATTTGTAGAGATGGCTGTTGAATTATTTGCAATAGGGTGTTTTTTTTCTCCAACACTAAAATCAGCCTTTTGGGGCTTCAAGAGAGGCCATTTTGGATATGTGGGAGCATCTTTTCATGCCCTTCTCAGAGAGACACTAATAACTCTGACAGCTGAAGACTGTAGGCTGTTCAAATCTCAAAAACAGCATTGCCAGCCAGCTGACTGAGAGCACCCAGTGTTGGCGTACGTCAGAATATTTACTGAGCTCACGCTTCAGCCTGCTTCCTTTGGGGCATTATCCTTTGCACTGCAGGCAAACAGCCTTCCTTTGGTTTGTGCAATCTATGTATCCACACTTTATGAAAATAGGATGCATCTTTGTGTGCTATTTTAAATGAGTTTGCTTAGTAAAGGCAACACATAACTAGAAAAGAAAGCTGACCACTGACAATATCTTACATTTGAATAATCCCTTGTAAAGCACTTTGTCCCTATAAAGCACTTTAGCAAACTATTTTATTTGACCCTTAAAACAGGACCATGAAGTAGAAAGCTCTTTTCTGGTTTAGTGACTAAGAAAATTCTAAAGCGAATTAGGAGCTAGAAAGAGTTAGGTCCTGGGACTCTGGATTTTCAGTTGCGTGCCCTTTACTCTGTCACTGGGATTCTAAAGAAGAAGTAGAAAGTGCCTTTGAGGTTTTAGTCCCCTTCATCTTTATTTATCTCTACCGTAGGAAGAGCACTTCCTTTGGGCTCCCCAGGTTGACTTGCTTTTACTTGATGGCCATTATATTTTAGAACTGTGTATTATTATTAATAGAACAATTAATAATAGTACACAGCACTTATAAGTTGATTTCACAGTTGACCCTTGAATAACATAGGTTTGAGCTACGGGGGTCCACTTATATGCAATTTTTTTTTTTTAATAAAGGTTGCACCAAGTGTGCCTGCCTCTCCTTCTACTACTTCTACCTCTGCCACCCCTGATACAGCAAGACCTGACCCCTCTTTTTCCTCTTCATCCTTAGCCTACCCGAAAATGATGAGGGAGAATGAAGACCTTTATGATTATCCATTTTCACTTAATGAATAGTTAATATGTTTTATTTTCCTTATGAATTCCTTAACATTTTCTTTTATCTAGCTTACTTTATTGTAAGAATACAGTATATAAGAAATATAACATACGAAATATTTGGTAACTGTTATCAGTAAGGCTTTCAGTGAGCTGTAGGCTATTAGTGAAGTTTTGGGGAATCAAAATTTACATGCAGATTTCTGACTGCCTAGGGAAAGGGGGTTTGGTGCTCTAACCTCCACATTGTTCAAGGGTCAACTGTATATTCCTTTTCACTTGTCCCTGCTGCCCCACATATAAGTTAGTCCCATTTATTTTCAAGAACATTAAAAACTTTTAAACATTCCCTTCTCCTCCCTCAACAGAATACTCTATTGGTGTATGTTCTGGATCTACCTAACCTCAAACAGCTGAGTACTCAAGCAAGTCACTTTCCTTTTCTGGAAATATATTAACTATTTAAAATCAAACAAAAGAGTCTAGCTAGATATTTTCTAAGATTCTTCCAACTCTAGTATCTCTATTCCACAGTTCTGCTTATGTCCCAGATTTGATGAGGTTACATTGCTTAGACAAAGGAATGGGACGCATTTTAAGGCTTTGCTAGATGGTCATCTAAGAAAATAAGAAGGAAAAAGGAAGGGAGACAGCAAGAATGTTTCTTTTTCACAAAAGAAAATATAAGTAACAGCCATCCTTTCTTTTGATCACTTAACTATATGCCAAGTACGTTTCTGGGTATATTACATAGATTACCACTAATCTTCATAAAATCTCTTTAAGATGGTGGCATTGTCTTAATTTCTGTAACCATTTTTTTTTTTAAAATAGATTATTCATACATAAGCAACACGTAAAAGAAAAAATTATAAAGAGCATTATAAGATTGAAAAGCAAAATTGCCTCTACTATGTCTATCCATTTGCAGACCAATTCCTAAGAGCTAATGCAGGACATACCTATGTGTCCTTTCCAGTGAGAGTAAATGGCTAGAAGCAGGATTGTTAGGATGAAAAATACACACATTTTAATATTTAAAAATGGTACCATAGTTCCCCCTTATCCACAGGGGATACGTTCCAAGACCTTCAGTGAATGCTTGAAACTTCAGGTAGTAATGAACCATGTATATACTATGTGTGAATTCTTTTCCTTCTTCAAAATTGCAGTGACCTCAGCATATAACTTTTTCTTTTTAAAAAGTCAAACTTTCACCTTTTCACTTAAAAGAAGAACTTTATGGCTTCTCTTTGACATATCTAAATTATCAGCATTACTATTCTTGTGCCTTGGGACCATTATTAAGTAAAATAAAGGTTACTTGTAACCAAGCACTGCAGTTCTGCCACAATGGATCTAATAACTGAGACGGCTACTAAGTTACTAACAGGTGGCTACTGTAGAGAACATGGGTCCACTGGGCACAGGGATGGATTACATCCCAGTCGGGAGGGAATGGTACAGTGTATGATTTCATCATGCTATTCTGCACACACACTTTACAGCTTAAGAATTGCTTATTTCTGGAATTTTCCATTTGGTATTTTCGGACCACAGTTGACTGCAGGTAATTTTCTGAAACTGCAGAAAGTGAAATTAGATGAAGTAGGGGAGACTTGTATTTTCCTAAAATGTACCAATTTACATTTCCACCAATATGCAAGCAATATTTTCTGACAAACCTATTTCCCTTTGTGGTTTATGTCTCACAAGCTAGTCAATACTGGGTATCATTAAACCTTTAAATCTATATTATGCTAATAGGTAGAAAATGTATTTTAATGATTTAAATTCTTAAAGGTACAAACACTTATTGGCCAATTGCATTTTTTTTTGTGAAATGCCTTATTGTGTACTTTGTTTTGTTTTTATTAAGTTACTTATCTTTGTCTTCCTTGTTTGTGAAAGCTCTTTGTATACTAAAAAAGCTTAGGCCCTGTGTTACAGGGATGTGTGTTAGAAATATTTCTCAAATTTGTTTCATGGTATTTTCCCAGTATTTTAAACCTTTTTTCATTATTGTGTTGAATTTATTTTCTTTCCAGCTTTATTGAGATATGATTAACAAATGAAGTATGCATCCTTTATTCTCTATGATTGATGGGGTGAAAAATTGCATCAATTTTGCATCTATCTAGAATATACAAAAAATGGGATATTTTGACATATGTATACACTGCAAAATAATCACCACAATCATGCTAAATAACATCACCTTACATTGTTCCTTTGTGGGGTGTGTGTGTGTGTGTGTGTGTGTGTGTGTGTGTGTGTGTGTGGTGAGAATACTTGAGACCTCCTCTTAGCAAGGTTCAAATATACATTATATTAACTATAGTTAACCTGCTGTACATTAGGTCTCCATTACTTATTTGTCTTATAGCTGAAGGTTTTGTACTCTTGGACCAATAGTTCCCCTTTCTTCTACCTTCCAGCTCCGTGTAACCCCTACTCTCTGTTACTATAAGCTAGACTTAAATTTTTTTTTTAAGATTCTATGTACAAGTGACATTATGCAGTATTTTTCTGAGTCTGGCTTATTTCACTTAGCCCTAATGTCTTCAAGGTTCATCTATGTTTTGGCAAGTGGTCGGAATTCTTTCTTTCTAAAGGCCAAATATTATTCCTGTATCATGTGTGTCTGTGTATAAAACCATATTTTTTAACCTGTTCATCCATCAATGGACACTTAGGTTGTTTCCATATCTTGGCTATTGTGACACTGCATTGAACATGGGAATGCAGATATCCTGTAAAGATATATTTCTTTTGGCTCTGTACCTGGAAATAGATTGCTGCGTCATGTGGTAATTCACTTTTTAAGTGTTTGAGGAATTTCTAAACTGTTTTCCATAAACAGCTATACCAATTTACATTCCCACCAATAGTGTACAAGGGTTCCCTTTCATGTATCTTCACCAATACTTGCTATCTTTGACATTTTGTTAATAGCCATCCGAACAGGTTGTGAGGTGATATTTTAATGTGCTATTGATTTCGATTTCCCTGAAGATCAATGATATTGAGCATGTTTTATATACCTGTTAGCCATTTGCATGTCTTCTTTTGAGAAATGTTTATTTAGTTCCTTTGCCCATTTAAAAATAGGATTGTTTGGTTTTTTGGCTATTAAGTTGTATAGGTTCTTTAGATCTGAATCCCTTATCAGATATATGGTTTACAAATATTTTATGTCATTCTATAGGTTGCCTTTTCATTGTATTGAATGTTTCCTTTGCTCTGTAGAAATGTTTAGTTTCATGTAGTCTCACATATATGTTTTTGCATTTGTTGCATGTGCTGTTGGTATCAAATCTAAAACATAATTGCTGAGAATAATGTCAATAATCTTTTCCCTGATGTTTCCTCTAGGAGTTTTATGGTTTCAAGTCTTACATTTACATCTCTAATCCATTTTGAATTGATTTTTGTATGCAGTTTAAGAGAAGGGTCATTTCATTCTTTTGTGTGTAGATATCCAGTTTTCCCAACATCATTTATTGAAGAGTCTATGCTTTCCCCATTGTGTACTTCTGGTTCCTTTGTCAAAAAGTAGTTGGCTGGTACATACATGAATATTTCTGGACTCTATTCTCTTCCATTAGCCTATGTGTCTGTTGTTAAGTCAATAACATACTATATTTATTACTATAGCTTTGTAATATAGTTTAAAATCAAAGTATAATGCTTCCAGCTTTGTTTTTTGCTCCAGATTGCTTTAGCTATTTGAATTCTTGTGGTTCCAAATGAATTTTAGTTTTTTTCTATTTCTGTAAAACAAGCCATTTAAATTTCGATAGGTATACACTGAATATGTAGATTGCTTTGGCTAATATGAACATCTTAACAATATCTTTTCAATCCATGAAGACTGAATATCTTCCCATTTATTTGTGTTTTCTATAATTTATTTATCTATGTTTTATAGATTTTAGTGTACATACCTTTTACTTCCTTGGTTACATTTATTCCTAAGTATTATTTTTGACATTGTAAGTGGAATTTCTTTTTTAAATAGTTCATTGTTAGTATATAGAAATAAAACTGATCTTTGTATGTTGATTTTTATATCCTGCAACTTTACTGAATTTGTTAATTCTAACAATGTTTGCTTATTCTAAAAGCATTTTCTATATATAAGATCAGGTCATTTGAAAATGAGAACAATTTAACTTCTTCCTTTCCAATCTGGATGCCTTCTATTTCTTAGCTATTTCCTCTGCCTAGGACTTTAAGTACTATGTTAAATAGAAGCATAAGGGTGAGCATCCTTATATTGTTCCTGATCTTAAAGAAAAGGCTTTCAATTTGTCACTGTTGAGAATGATAGCTGTGGGGTTATCATACATGGCCTTCATGGTGTTGGGATACATTCATCCTATCCCTATTTTGTTGTGAGTTTTTAATCACGAAGTGATGTTGAAATTTGTCAAATGCTTTTCCAGCATGTATTGAGATGATCTTGTGGTTTTTGTTCTTCATCGTGTTTATATAGTTTATCACATTTATTGATTTGAATTTGTTGAACCAACCTTGTATTCCATGGATAAATCCCACTTCATCATGGTGTATGATCCTTTTACTATGCTGTTAAATCTGGTTTGCTAATATTTTATTTAGGTCTTTTGCTTCTGTGTTAATTAGGAATATATTGGTCTATAATTTCCTTTTCTTACAGTGCCCTTTTCTGGCTTTAATTTCAGGGTAATGGTGGCTTGTAAAATGAGTTTGGGAGTATTCCCTCCTCTTCAATTTGTATTAAAAAGTTTGAGAAAAACTGATATTGGTTCTTCTTCAAATGTTTGGTATAATTCAGCCATGAAGCCATCAGTTTCTGCATTTATCTTTGGGAGATCTTTCAGTACTGATTCAATCTCCTTACCTATTATCAGTCTTCTCAGGTTTTCAATTTCATGATTCAGTCTTAGTGGGTTGCATGTTTCAAAACTAAATTTATTCATTTCTCCTAGGTTATCCAATTTGTTGATGTATAATTGTTCATTGCAAGTCTCCTATGATCCTTTGTATTTCTGCAATATCAGTTGTAATGTCCCCTCTTTCATTTCTGATTTTGAGTCTTCTCTTTTTTTTTAAGTCCAGCTAATGACTTGTCAATTATGTTTATCTATTCAAATAACCATCTCTAAACTTTTTAATGTTTTATTGTTTTATGGTCTCTATTTTTTCTGTTCTAATCCTCATTTTTTCCCTTTTACTAACTTTAGGCTTAGTTTGTTCTTTTTCTAGTTCCTTGAAGTACAACATTAGGTTGTTTATTCAAGATATTTCTTTTTAATGTAGGCATTTATCACTATAAACTTCTTTCTTAGAACTGCTTTTGCTACATCACATTAGTTTGGGCATGTTGTGTTTCTATGTTTGTCTTAAGATTTAAAAAAAATTTCCTTTTTGATTTCTTCTTTGACCTGTTGATTGTTTAGGAGAATGGTGTTTAATTTCCACATAATTGTGAATTTTCAAGGTTTTTCCTGTAATTGATTTCTAGTTTCATACTACTGCGATTGGAAAAAATATTTGATATGATTCCAATCATCTTAAACTTGTTAAGACTTATTTTGGAGTCTAATATGTGACGTATCCTAAAGAATTTTGCATGTTAATTTCAGAAAAATGTGTATTCTGCTGCTGTTAAACGAAATGTTCTCTATTTGTGTGTGGGGTTCATTTGGTCTAAAATGTAGCTCAAGTCTGAATTAAGCCATTCTTTCTTTGCTAAAAAGGAATACCTGAAGCTGTATAATTTATAAAGAAAAGAAGTTTAATTGGCTCTTGGTTCTGCAGGCTGTAGAGAAAGCATAGTGCTGGCATCTGCATCTGGTGAGGACCTCAGGAAGCTTACAATCATAGTGGCAGGTCATGGGAAGCAATCATTTCACATGGCAAGAATGGGTGCAAGAGAGTGAGGGAGGAGGTGCCACACACTTTTAAACAAACAGATCTCTTGTGAACTGAGTGAGAACTAACTTATCACCAAACGGATGGTGCTAAACCATTCATGAAGGATCTGTCCCCATGATCCAATCACCTCCCATGAGGCCCCACCTCCAATACTGGGGATTACATTTCAACATTAGATTTGCAGGGGATAAATATCCAAATCATATCAAAGTCCAATGTTTCCTATTTTCTTTGTGTCTGAGTAATCTATTCACTGTTACAAGTGACATCCCCTACTATCACTGTACTGATGTCTATGTTTCCTTTCAGATCTGTAAATATTTGCTTTATATATTTAGGTGCTGCCATGTTGGGTGCACATATATTATAATTGTTCCATCCTCTTAATGAATCAACCCTGTATCATTATATAGCAACCTTTTTGTGTCTCTTTTTACAGTTTCTGACTTAAAGCCTGTTTTGTTCAAGTATAGCTAGTCTTATTCTCTTTTGTTTTCCATTTACTTTTCCCTTTACTTTGTGACCATGCATGTCCTTAAAGGCAAAGTGAGTCTCTTGTGAGGAACATACAGTTGCAGCTTTAAAAAGAATCCTTTCAGCTTCTTCTTTTTTTTTTTTCCAGGATGGGATGTCCTTTTGCAGAGGAAGCCCAGGTTGGACTTGAACTTCTGGGCTCAAGTTGCCCATGCTGGACTTGAACTCCTGGGCTCAAGTGGTCCTCTGGCCTCAGCCTCCCATGTAGCTGAGTCTACTGATGTATACCATCACACCTGGCTTTTTCTTTTCATTGGAAAATTTAGTCCATTTACATTTAAAGTAATTGTAATAGGTAAGGATTTACTGTTGTTATTTTGTTAATTGTTTTCTGGATGTTTTGTAGATCCTTTCTTCTTTCTGTTCTTTTTTGTGACTTGATGATTTCCTACAGAGTTGCACTTTGATTCCTTTTATCTTTTGTGTGTCTACTATAGACTTTAATTTTGTGGTTACTATGAAGCTTATGTAAACATTTTTATGGCATCTGTTTAAATAATGTAAAGTCCCTCACCAAAACTATAAAAATATTAAATGATTTCCTATAATGTGTTTATTTTTACTTTTTACATGTTTTATTTCTCATTTACTTGAAAAGCTTTTAGGTATTTTCAATATAAATAGTGTGGTCTGGCTGTAACTATAGTTCTTCTAATTCTATCTCCCCTTGATAGATGAACAATTGTCTGACATCATCCATCTAGTATCATTTTCTCCCGTACTTAGAAATCACCTTTATGATATAAATTTCTGCATATCTTTTGGACAATTTCTGGACTATTTATTCATAGTCCAATGCTTATTAAAATTCTGCTCAACTTATTTTCCTGAGTCAGCACTAAATTCTTTTGAATTTTTTTTTAGCTTTAAAAAGGTTGTATTTTTGGATGAAGTTAGTCCAATTCATTTATTTTTTTATGATTTTCTGGCTTGCATTAGATATTTATTTTACCAACTAAATGTGGTCATTGTGTGTTTTATACTTCTGACATACCATAGGATTAATACCTTAAATTTCTTTGCATCAGTATTTATATGTAAAAAATGTGGCAAAGATTTTTTTTTTTTGAAGGTGTGGGGAACTATCTTTGTCAGGTTTTGGTATCAATATTATATTATCTTCACAAAAAGAATCTCAGCCTTTTCCAAAGTAGGAATAATTCCTATTTTAATGATAATGTGACTGGAGCTACAAGAGGTTTAAGTAACTTTTCCAAGGGTACATACCTTTTAAAGAATAGAGATGTGATTTTTGCCCACTGAATATAGAAATGTTCATCTTGATTAGGTAAGCAGAGAGGCTAGAACATTTGCTCTAGAAAAAGACACCAGGTATCAATAACATCCCTTAAATCTATAAAATATATTCTGTATAATTTTATAATTTTTATGAATAATTATAATAAATTCATACAATCACATCATGGTTCTCAGATACTGCTCATGTCCATTATGTCATTTTTTTTTCTTGCCAGTACCCCTTCTATTACGAGGGAGGAAAATAAAACTCAGATTTCAGGAATCAATCAAGGTCATGTAGCAACCTGGTGGTCAGCCAGAGCTAGAAATTATCAAATATGATGATCCAGGTAAGTCCTCTTTCTGTTATGCTATATAGCCTTCTCTTAAGAGTATTACTGAAGAATTATCTGTAGTCTTTCCTCATTCAGAGGAATATGACAAGTTTTTCCACAAAGAGAGTCAACATATTTTGGTTGAAACTTCACCCTGTCAGAGAGGCTGCTTGCTACCATTAGAGCTTTTAAGCAAGGATGAGATAATCACAATAATTATCTTCCATTAGCAAAATGATCTGGCACCAGATTCTTCCTCCGGTTTTTGCAGCCTCCCTTCTGAAGCAGAGAGCATCTGAAATGGGCTTCCAGAACATTGCAGTGGAAAATAATCAGAAGTATAAAAATGAACTGGAGGAGGCTAAATTAGTCAAAGAGTCATGAGTGGTTAAGGACCCAAGATCAGGAAAATCTGATAATTTGGGTTAATATAATTTAGTTTTTGTCTTCTCAATGGATTCACTGTAGAGCAGCCTTCCAATTAGTATGCTTGCATCATACCCTCAATAAGGCAGACAACATTTCAGTATATCAATTCTACATTTATCCATCTAATTCATTTCCCCTAAGGGCAGTAAATAAAGCTTGTAAAATACTAATTGCTTTAATTCAAGGTTTAATGCAAACTCATTGTATTTCTGTTTCTCTGGGGAATTCAAAAAGGATTCACAACATATTGGCTAGATCTTTTGCCTCTTTTGCCTAGATCCAATTAGAAATTGAAATTCAAAAGATTTTTTTATTTGTCAGCATAAAAAAAATCACCACTTCTATCACCACCACAATCACAGTCAGCATTTTCACCATCTTTGTCATTAATTTTTTTACCGTTTACCTGTGTAATATGTTTGTATTCTTTGTGGATCTTGCAACTAAAGTCAGAGCCCATGGTTGCCTCAAGAGTGTTTAAAACAAAAGGAGAAAGTGCATTATCTTATTGATAAAACTATTCTCTGGCGGGCACGGTGGCTCACGCCTGTAATCCCAGCACTTTGGGAAGGCGAGGCGGGCAGATCATGAGGTCAGGAGATCGAGACCATCTGGCTAACACGGTGAAACCCCATCTCTAGTAAAAAGTACAAAAAAAAATTAGCCAGGTGTGGTGGGGGGCGCCTGTAGTCCCAGCTACTCAGGAGGCTGAGGCAGGAGAATGGCATGAGCTCCAGAGGCGGGGAGGCGGAGCTTGCAGTGAGCCGAGTTCGGCGCCACTGCACTCCAGTCTGGGCAACAGAGCGAGATTCCGTCTCAAAACAAACAAACAAACAAACAAAAACTATTCTCAATAAATATAAATGGTGCACTCCCTAAACTAATCATTGACAGCATTAACCCACTAGAGGAGTGCTAGCAAAAGAAAGAGTTGTAGGCTTATTAGATTAACCAGATTGTATGCTCCATGAATGCTGGGGCTATGTCTGTTTTGTTCACCACTATATACCCAGCACCAAATGCAGCATCTAGCACTTGGTTGGGACTCCATAAGTATTAAAGTGAAAGTTAAGACACAGAGTTAAGTAGAAGTTCTAGCTCTGTAGTTAAGGTTAATATATGCATGGCCCCAAACTCTACTGGACATTGAAATCTTCTGGAGCAAAATCACATTAAAATACTGATGTTTGGCTCCGTTCCCAGGGTTTTGATCAAACTGATATTAGACACAACCTTGTCAACTCAATTTTTAAAAGTTCTTTAGGTGATATCAATGTTCAACTTTTGGGAAACACGTTAATATAATTAAAAGAAGTCCAACTTTGCACACAAGGCAGTCCTAGCTTATGAGCTCATTATGCAATCAATCTAGTTTGCAAACATTTACTTAGCACCTGTTATGTATGAAGCATTCTACCTGGCTCTGGGGAATATGGATGGCATGAGACATGGCTCTTAGAGCTTCCTATTGATTTTGGAGATGAGTAAAACACTAAAAAATGATGCAAATTAAATAAAGTAAGGTGATATTATATGATATATTACAGAATATAATTGGTACTGTATATGATTTATAGTGAGACAACAAATATTAAGGAGCTTATAGAAAGGAGAAATCTCTCCTGAAGTTTTCAAGGAACACTCTACAGGGGAAGTGACTTTAAACTGGATCTTGAACAAAGTGTGTAGGAAGCAAGTATGCTATAAGATAGACAACAACCTAAAGATACTCCAAGAAGTGATACAATATCAGAAATGATATACTTTCAAAGCAATGCTAGATATATAATTCAAGAGTCTCCTTTATAGGTTGTTGAGGGGAAGGTTTCCAGAGCTTTGTCAGTGTCAACAACCATCAATACGGTGTTTGTCATAGGATCAGAATATTTAACTGGGAGCTGTTATTCAGACCTACGCTGGAAATTCTTAGTTGAGAGTTAATAAGGCAGTGAAAACAGAATGGTTCAACAGAGTGAAAAAAAAAAGACTATTTCCAGCAAAAGTAAGGGTGTGAACAAGGAAGGAATGGTTGGGATAAAGTTAGGGGTCATGGAAACAGATTTTCCTGGTGGGAAAGAAATGAGGTTGAAGTGGCTCCAACTGGGGTAGCTTAATAACTTAGGCCTTGTCTTGTGCCCTCTGCCTTTCCAGATGGTTATTAGCTGTCAGACAAAATTTAACCCAAGGGTCAATGTGCCTTAATTATTACCTTTGTAAAGTCTTGATGACTTGCTATTTATTTTTAATAAGCTTGTCATTCATTATATTTCTTACTTGAATGTCAAGATGATGAGGAAAGGAGGGGAGGCTTGCCTTAGTTCTCTCTCCTGTCATTACTGTCAAGCAGACATTATTGGAACCCTGTTTCTTAGCCACTGCTTTTGACAATCCATTCTTGATGAAAGAATAAAATGCATTCAGGGGTTGAGGGAGGGAGGGGAGAATACTAATTCCAGTAGTTCAAAACCCCAGCTCAATAAAGAATGAATTGAAAAGAATTAGAAAAGTGGAGGCCGGGCTATTGCTAGGGTCTGCTAATTTGGGCACTTGCCTTCAGGGCACCATGAGTTTATAAACAGATGGGAAGAAAGAGGTGCATTAGCTAATTCATACTAAAAAGGAAATAGATATATATATTTCAGTAAATATGTATATATTTTTATATATAAATATATATATTTCAGTAAAATATATATATATTTCAGTAAAATTCTTCAGTTCTCCTCCCTATAAAAGGCTGAGACTTCCTCTCTCTTTTATTTCACTCTTAGCTTAGGCGGCCCTTTAGTGTTTTTTTTTTTTCTTTTCTATTCATAGATTTCATTAGCATGGTAAAATGAGAATGGAAGGGAAGATGACTGGAGAGTGGGTGTAGGAATTAATAGAGTCCTAACTTTTCCCCATCTCTTAAGATGAGCTGAGTTGGGATTGGGGTGTTTACAATACAGCAGGATTGGCAAACTTTTTCTGTAAAGGACTGTAATAAAATAAATATTTTAGTCTTTGTAATTCACATATAGTCTCTGCCACACAGTCTGTTTTGTTGTTGGTGGTGTGTGTGTGTGTGTGTGTGTTTTAACAACCCTTTAGAAATATTTTTAAAAAGGCATTTTTAGCTTGTAAGCTGTTCAAAAATAGGCCGTGTGCCTCCATTAGGGAATATATCCTCTATGTGTTTTCACTGGTGTAGAGAAAGGCTCTTCTTTGCAACTCTCCACAGGTCTGAGAAAGGAGGAAAAGAGACAAAGAGAGTCAAAAGGTGCAGAACACCTCTGTATGTTCCATGAACTTCTCATTTCCTTTCCTTTACCTACAGAGACATGAAGAGTGCCTTTGTGAATTTTGTTGGGGGACATATGTGGGAATTTTCTTTTGGCTGTTTTTGGTTAACCTCCTAGGCTAATTGGAATTGAAGTCAATTCAGTATGGACTAAAAATATGAATAGCTAATATTCATTGAGTGTTTTCATGTTCCAGGCCTTGTTTTAAATGCTATAAAATGTGTTACTCATTTTGTTTCACTCAAGCTCCTATGAAGTAATTTTATCATTCTCATTTGACCTATGAGGAATCTGAGACACCAAGCAATTAAATTACTTGCCAAGGCCATGAGTTTATGAATGGCAGAACTTACTTGGATTTGAATTCATGTACTCTGGCTGCATGATCCACACTTTTAATTACAATGCCTTCTTACCACATATTGAATGTTGACAGGTAACAGCAATTTTTCATATTGTATGACTATGCCAGCCAGTAGAAGTCAGATTTTGCTGCAGTGACAAAGCACTCCCAAATCTTAGTGGCTTTACACAACAAAGATTTATTTCTACACTTTTGCTATATTTCACATGGTAGGAAATTCTCCACACAACCACTTAAGAGTTAGGTGGATGGAGTATATCTGCACCTTCTAGAATATGCAGATTCCTCAGTCTCTGTAGCAGGCTAGGAGAGAGACTGAGAATCTCAGGAAATTTTCATTGCTTCTACCCAGAAGTGATGGATGTCACTTCCCACATTTATTGTCCACAACTAGTCACTCCTCTCACCTAATCGAATTGGGGCTGGGAAATGTAGAAACACAAAGAGGCTATTTGATGTGTATTAGTCTCTGCGCTATAGCATTTTATACTGTTCAGTGCATCTTCATATACATTAGTTTGTTTGACCTTATTTAATTCTTTCAAGAAGACAAAACAGGCATTATTAATGCTGTTTTACAGATGAGGAGGTGAAAGTTAAAAGAGATGCAGTGATCAGCCCAAGAAGAATGACTGGCTAATAAGAAGAACAGGTCTTTGGGTTTAAGACAAATTTTGGTTTAAAGTTGGCTTCTGTTCCTTGTGACAAATTCTTTAACCTCTCAGAACCTCACTTTATTAATTTCTGTAGTATAATTGTCTCTGCTGTTAAATTACGTTTAGCCTAAGCCTTATGTATTCTACAGTTGGCCTAAAGGTTTCTAAGTGCATAGTAAAATGTAACTTAACTGGATGTGTAAACAGACTGTAACCTCCTCTTGGGCCAAATATGGAGTTTCAGCCAATCAAAGGTGGCCAACTATTCTAGCCATGCTCAAATAAGACAAATGCTGAGCTGTAACCAATCCTGCTGTTTCAGCACCTCACTTCTGTTTCCTGTATATTACTCTCCTTTTTCTGTCTCTAAATCTCCAATCACGCAGGTGCGCCAGAGCCTCTCTGAAACTATTCTGGTTCAGGGGCTGCCCAGTTCACACATTGTTCTTTGTTCAATTAAACTCTGTTCAAATTAATTTGTCTAAGGTTTATCTTTTAACACTACCTTATTGATTTGTCAAAAAAATAAATAACAGTTCCATAAAGTGCTTTGTATCATGCCTGACTGATGGAATAGGTTCAATGAAATGATAGCCGTCTTTGACAGTTTTCTCAAGGTTGCATATTTTGTTGGGACATTGGGAGAAGCATTCAGAGCTCCTGTCTCTGAATTGTTGTCCCACAGTTAGTGATAGTGGAAAACCATGCAACAGCAGTATAAGACAGGGTGTCTCCATAGGGCAGAGTTGAGATCTTTATACATCAAACAATGGGGGAATAATATACAACAGCACCTTTTGAAATGAGGCAAAGATGGTCACTGCTACGGCAATTTAGAAAGGAGTTTCTGTGGATTGAGATAGGAAAGGCTTGCAGGGGAGTTTAGCTGATCTCACCTGCTCTGTCATGTGTTCTGTATCATCCAGTGCCCCACCCTTCATCCTGGGCTCCTTCCTTTCCATATGCAGTCTCAGGATTGTAACAAAATGCCTAGCACTGATTATTCTCTCTATAGTGGTTCCTACCTGTTTTTGCTGAGATCCAGGCCCATATATGTCTACCTGACATTTCTGCCTGTTTTGTCCCACAGATATACTGAAATTATCATCTCCAAATGTGAGCTCCTTTTCTTCCTTAACTACAACTACTCGTTCTGTTCTATTAGTGTCAGTGATTAGTATAGCCATTCATCCAGAGGTCAAGCCAGAAATATTAGGGTCATTTTAGTGTTCTTCTTTGCATCCACTGAATACATCAACAAATTCTGCAACTTTTACCTCTTCTGTAATATATTTTCTCCCTATGTATCTGCTCCTCTCTATTCCCCTTTTGGCTAAGTCACTCACTAGTTCCAACCTGGGGACAATATTTATTTTTTAACTAGACTCCCTGCTTCCATTGTGGCCACACTCCAATCTATTCTCAAATCAAGCCAGAAGGAACTTTCTGAAATGCAAACCTGATTGTCTCCCTCTTTCATTTAGAGTCCTTCGATGGATCTCCAAAGTTTTTATTGGATAGGAAACACCTTATCTTAGTCACCAGACTATTTGTCAGCCCCTGGCTGCCCCTAATCTTAACTCTGGGCATGCCCACAAATTCAGCATTCATTCCAGCCAGGTCAAAATACTTGTAGTTTCCTGGACCCAGCCAACTCTCTCATGCATCAGTGCCTTCATACCCAGTAACTTTTGCCTCAAATGTCTTTTTCCCATGTCTTCAGTTCCTATCTGACCTTTAAAACTCAGCCCAAGAAGTAATTAATCTTCGGTTAAAGGTCTCCCTCTGTTTTCCTATAATCCTTAATTTGTTTTAAGGTCTTCCTCTATTCTGTAACACCCACCTATCACATGTACTATAATTCTTGGTATGTTTGTCTTTTCTACCCATTGGCTGCTAGATAGATTCTCTCTCCTAATTGAAGTAAAAGAGGCACACTCAGATTTCCTTTGATACCAAGGAAATGAGAAAGGACAAAAAATACTTCATTGGTTGTGAAGGCAGTCCTACTGGAGCACTAAAATGTCATTTATCATCATTTAGGTTTCAATAACTCTGTTCAGTAGCTGCTCTTGTGAATTAATAATAATTTTCTAGACTGCCTTATTGTGACTCAGCAGCAGCCCCAACTTTCCTTCCCTTTCTTACCTGCCTCTCCTCTTTGCTTTGCCAGCCACTCTGGCTTCTGCTTAGTAAAAGCTCCAGTTAGGTTGTGGCTTCTCATTATTCTCTATGCTTAGTGTGTTTTCCTCATTTGGTTTATGTTTTTTGCACACATATCTGTGCCTCTTGTGTTAAAAGTCCCTTGTAGTGGGGTTCACACATTATTCTCCAATACTGAGCATCCCTGTCTCATTCCAAACAAGTACAGACATCTGTTTGATTCCATCAGAATGGTGGTGGTGATGTCCCATGTTACAAATTACAACTACCTATACATAAGATTTCCTTCAGCATGAGGCTGTTGGCTTGACAAAAGTCCTAAGACAGGTCAGAAGGGGGTGTTTTGAGATAATTAAGGGTGCTGTGTCCCAGCTGATTAGGAGTATCCTAGTGTGTGTCCAGTAAATATTTGATGGATAAATGAATTAATTAACATTGAAGAATACTAGGATGAGGTTGAAGAGGGGAAGAAAAGGCATTGCTAATTGGTAGGAAGAGGGGGCACCCATAAGTCAGACTACATGTCTAAGGTCATTATTCAGAAGGATTTCAAAGTTGCCAATTTTGTATAGCAATGTGCTGGCAGACATCTTCAAAATGATTTGGGTTAGTTGACAGAGCATTTTGATAGCCTCTGGCGAGAAGCTGGTCTTGTTCTCTCTCTAATGCCATTAGTTTAGAAAACTTGATACGATACCTACATGGCCTACAATATATGTTTTGTGTTAGACAGGCTCTATATTTGATGATTATGGTGCCTACAACAATAATATTAAACTAATTCATTGTCATTATCTAGGTCTTTCAATTCTTGGGTGAGTAGCTTGAACTACTTAGTTGTTCTATTCACAGTGCCGACCTGAGGACAGGAAAGGGCAACTGATTCACAGAAATGGCTCTAGGGGCTGAGGCCTGCAGAAGCAAAAGGCTGTGTGGCCCAGCATCACTAATTTTGGGGGATGTCTAGGACTTTCAGGCCTTTTAAATCAAATTGACATAATTGGACAATTTCAGGATGTCTAGGACTATTTGGGGATGTCTAGCACGTTCAGGTCTTTTAACTCACATGGACATAATTGAACAATTGAGGAAATTTTCTGAAGATTTGGTTAAAAATAACTTTATGTCTCAAATTTCTGTGCATTTTAGATAAAACTATGTATAGTTAGCCCTTGAATGATACAGAGGTTAGGAGTGCTGACTGCCTGCTCCTATCCACCATGTAATGTAAAATCCACATATAACTTTGGACTCTCAAAAACTTTACTAATAACCTACAGTTGTCCTAAAGTCAATTAACACAAAACAGCCAATTAACACGTTTTGTATGTTTATGTATATATGCTGTATTATTATAATAAAGTAAGCTAGAGAGAAGAAAATGTTACTAAGAAAATCATAAGAGAGAATGTATTTACTTTTCATTAAGTGGAAGTGGATCATCATAAACATCTTTGTCCTTGTCTTCAGATTGAGTAGGCTGAGGAAGAAAAGGAGGGGTTTGTCCTGCTGTCTCTGGGGTAGCAGAAAATTCACAAATATGTGGTCCTGTGCAGTTCAAACCCATGTTGTTTAGGAGCCACTTGTGTGTGTATATATAAAAAATATGTACATATGTATATATGAATGTACATATGCATATACACATGTACATGTATGTAGGCATGTGTATGTGTGTGCATGTATGTGTATGTGCGTATAATATGTGTATAAAAATAATTTCTCATTGGATAAAGCTAATTAATAGGGAAAGGTTGTTGTCCACAAAATGAAGAATTAACTAAATTTTGAGGACTTTCTGAACCACGGTTTTTTGTTTGTTTGTTTGGCTTGGGCTGTTCTCTACAATTCTTGTGTATATCATTGGGGTACCTGAATGTTATGAGTATGTGGCAAATTTTTTTTCCTCTCCCTGGAACCCTGGCCTCATTGAAGTATTCTGTAGGAAGAACATGGGAGAATTGCGTGGATGGCAGCTCTCCTCAGAAATACCATATCCTAAGTTCCACCTGAGGTGACTCCTGGGGACTTTAGGTAGAGCAGATGGGATCCTGGCTTCCTTCCATGCTTAAGAGCTACAGGCATTTTATAGACAGGAACTATGTGTAGTGGGAAAAGCAGAGCGTTAGGAATTGGGAGAGGCAGATTTATCACTGTTTAACTGTGTGATATTACGAAGTCACTTAATTGATCTGGGCATTTTTTTTCCTTTGTTGTAAAATAAAAGGTCTGGATTAGGTGATCTGTTAATGGAAGGGATACGTTTATCTCCAAGTGCTATAACATCTAACTTAAGGCATAAGCTAGACAGTTTGTTCTTGGCTGATATAGACAATATCCTCATCCCAGGACACACCTACACCAACCTCTGTCTCTTTTAAAAATTCACTTTCATGGGAGTTTTACTTTTGTAATAGAGTTTTAGTTGACTTTTGGTGGGAAGATAAAAGTGTAGGGATTTTTTTCCTTGGACCGGGTCTTTCAAATGGGCTTTGAAGAATGAAATATTACAGTAAGAATGCAACTGTGCTTTTTGTTATAGGCTAAATTGTGGTCCTCTACCACCAAATTCATATGTTGAAGACCTAACACCTGGTACCTCAGAATTTGACCATATTTGGAGATAAGCTCTTTAAAGAGGCAGTTCAGTTGAAAGGAGGCCGTTAAGGTGTGGCCTTAATCCAGTATGTCTTATCTTCTTATGAGAAGAGGAAGAGATACCAGAGATGCTGCACACAGAGAAAAGACCATGTGAAACCCCAGCAAGGGTGGCCATCTGCAAGCCAAGAGAGGCCTCAGAAGGAACGAAACCTGCTAACACCTTAAACTTGGAGTTTCAGCCTTTAGAGCTGTGAGAAAACAAATGTCTGTTGTATAAGCTACTCTACAGTATTCCATTAGAACAGCCCTAGCAGATGGATACACTATTGTTCAAGAGAGCTGCTGTAGTGCCCTTAGCTCAGCAAAGCAGGTCCAAAATGGGGCACAGGGTGGGGAAGACAGACCTAATCCCTGACTCCCACAGCACCTGGAACCCCACAGCTGGGACTCTGGGCCCTTCCAGAGACAGCATTGCTTACCTAGACGTGGATCAATGGCTATAGTTCATCACCCCAAGAAGCATAGCAGGGAAGCAGAAAACGTGGTCACATGAGGGCCACAGATGGAGTGGGAGAATGAGGCAAGAGACTGGTAAAGAAGTACATACCGTGGGGACTCCAGAAACACTGGGCAGTCCTTTATATGGGGAGTGTTCTGCTCTCAGTTGGCTGTTGTCTTTTAAGCCAATGGACATTTGGATCATACAAGTATTACAAATAACCAAATTTCATCATTTTTTAATAAATGTATTTCCTGAACATACAAGCCCATATTTGGAAAAGCTTGCATGATCCCTTAAAAGTTGTCACCTCCTCTTTTGGTTACTAAGGACTCCCCAAGTCCAAACATAACAACATTGCCAAATGATTGATATTTGAACTATCATACTCTCTTCACGTAGCATAATTGTCCTGCACTTAAACCAAATCTCATATGCTTTAATGATTAGATCTTTTCACCCCCTTTAATTTATAAGGAAAATTGATTCTTTGGGTCAATATTCCCAGGGGCACAAGAATCTGGGCTGCTAGTGGAGTCTGAGTGGGATTGTCTGAATGTTAATTGTTGCTTCTGATGTCTCCTGGAGCAGAGATGCTGTGGTTATTTTCAAAGCCAAACTCTGGCTACATGTCAAAATCTACAGCAAAACACCAGAGCCATTTTTCTGCAGATACAAAATAAAAGAAGATTAATCACATTTGTCTCCTCTACTACCTTTTCAAGAGAAGTTTTTATTTTAAACAGCTGCTTGTTGACGACATTTGAAGGCTGTAGAGCATGTCAAAGGATGATGGAAAGTTTTGAAAAGGTCTGTGAAAATGCTCTATGCTTAGAACTCTCTCTACTCACATTAATTTTCTTTACTCAAGTTTTCATCAATAAACCAAATTGGGAAACAGATTTAGTTATGGACACCAGTGGTTTTCAAAGTGTGGTCCCCAGACCAGTAGCAGCAGCACCTGAGAACTTATTAGAAATTGAAGTCCTTGAGCCTCATCCCAGACCTACTGAATCTGAAACTCTAGAGGAGGCGGCCAGGCAATCTGTGTTTTAACAAGCCCCCCATGTGATCCTGGTGTAGTCTAGGAACCACTACTCTTGACAACTCCACTGTGAAAACTATTTTCTTGAAATTTCTGGGAAATCATTTCCATGGTCATTTATTCCCCTTTCCTAAGCTGTATTCACATACAAAAGATTCAGATCATCACATCCTAGCTCCTCCTCAGAGGATCTCTCCTGGAAACTGAGGTTCTTTCCCATGGACTTGTAATACTTATACCACTACAATTCTTCATCTACCTCCCTCACTTCTAAGGATCAAAAGGACTCAGAATATGCACCAGCTAGGTTCAGCAATTAAGTCTCTAATTTTTATGTGCGTGTGAGGATTTTGTCTCTGATTGTGATTTCCACAAAGCCTGCCAGTAGGGTTGAATACAAAGACTTTCCTTATAAATGACAGTGCAGTAAGTCTTCACTAATGTCATCATAGGTTCTTGGAAACTATGACTTTAAGTGAAACTACATACAGCAAGCAAGTCTTCAAATAGCATAACTCATTTGACATTGTTTTGTTATAATGTTAATGAGGGGAAAATGGTTTTGTTATATTTCCTTTCACTTATTTATTTTTGAGATAAGGTCTCACTCTGTCACTCAGGCTGGAGTGCGGTGGTGCAATGATGGCTCACTTCAGCCTCTGACTTCTGGGCTCAAGTGATTCTCCGCTTCAGCCTCCTGAGTAGCTTGAGTAGTTGGAATACAGGTGCGCAGCACCATGCCCAGCTAATTAATTTGTTTGTTTGTTTGTTTTTTTAGAGACAGGGTCTCCCCATTTCACACAGGCTGATCTCCATCTCCTGTACTCAAGAGATCTTCCACCTTGGCCTCCCAAAGTGCTGGGATTCCAGGCATGACACATTGTGCCTGGCTCATTTCACTTAAAGTTTCAATTTCCAAGAATCTACCAACAACGTTAAATGAGAACTTACTGTAATTGTTTTAAAGTGTTTGTATGGCCAGGCACAATGCTGACCACTTTACAAACTTTATTTTATTGGAGCTGAAAACAATCTATTCTACAGATGAGGAAATTAAGTCACAGAGAAGCAAAATAACTTTGCCAGCTTTAATCAGGGCCAGGGTTGTAGCTCTCACATAGTTCCTATTCAGCGCTGCTACTTGGAATAATGAACAAATACTTGTGGACTGAGTTAGGAGGAGCTGCTCAGCTTGGGTGATTTGGATGTTAGCCATACTTCTTTACTCCATAATTGAAAACAGAAATATAGCTGAAGATAGAAACATGATGTCTTTGGCATACAATAGTTATCTTCCACCTACCTAACAGGTCATATGCCTTAAATTATTCCTCTAGTGGAGATACTGAATTGGCAACAAGGGATTCATAGCCTCTTGCTTGACTGTTAAGTAACCAACGTTGCAATTTTAGTCTCTTGCAGGAAAAAATAATCTGATCTTTCTAGGGCTTAAATTAGCGACAGGGCTTCATTAATAATCTGCGTTGCATGAAGTAGTTAATTCATGTTAACTTGTTCTGTTATTCTAAAAAGGGGGAGAGAATGACTTTAAATACCTTTGTTTCAGCTTCTTCTTACTCATGTAGGAGTAGTAACAATTGTTGGATATGTGAAAATTACCAACTGAGTTAAAGAAGTAATGGTCTTGGGATTGGAGCATGAACAATTGAATAAAAACTTATGGGTAAGAGCATTATGTAGGCATGTAGACATTTGGCTGGGGCATGACTTCCATAAGTAAGTAAATGGGTAGAGCTTTGGGATACACTGTGATTCACTGTGTCTGGTGCAAGAGGTTTTTTTTTTTTGGTGGGAATTTTTTTAAGTTCAACTTTTATTTTCGATAAAGGGGGTACATGTAAAGGTTTACTATGTGGGTATATGCACCCAGGTAGTGAGCATAGTAACCAATAGGTAGTTTTTCTTTTTCTTTTGAGATGGAGTCTCACTCTGTTGCCCAGGCTGGAATACAGTGGCGTGATCTCAGCTCATTGCAACCTCCGCCTCCCGGGTTCAAGTGATTCTCATGCCTCAGTCTCCCAAGTAGCTAGGATAACAGGTGCCCACCACCACGTCCGGCTAATTTTTGTATTTTTAGTAGAGATGAGGCTTCACCTTGTTAGGCAGGCTGGTCTCGAATTCCTGACCTTAAGTAATCCACCCGTCTTGGCCTCCAAAAGTGCTGGGATTACAGGTGTGAGCCACTGCACCCGGCCCAATAGGTAGTTTTTCAATCCAAGCCCCGCTCCCTGTCTACGCTTTCTAGAAGTCCACAGTGTCTATTGTTCTCCTGTTTATGTCTAAGTGTGGTCAGTGGTTAGCTCCCACTTACAAGTGAGAAAGTGCAGTATTTGGTTTTCTGTTCCTGCATTAAGTGGCTTAGGATTATGGTCTCTATCTGCATCCATGTTGCTGCAAAGAATATGATTTCATTCATTCTTATGGATGTGTAGTATTCCATGGTATATTTGTACCACATTTTCTTTATTCAATGCACCATTGATGTGCACCTAGGTTGATTCCATGTCTTTGCTATTGTGAGTAGTGTGGCAATGAACATACACATGACACAATTCCCTCTTCTTAAGAAGAAAATGTCATATGTGCTCCATCTGGGAGGATGAGACCTTTCTACTCTATTGATTTCTACTTCTTTCTTTTATGCTGGTATGGCCCTGAGAGAATTCTTCCAAATCCTGGATGGCAGAGGCCTCATAGAATAATGGGAACAAAGCTGAAAGTTGGAGAAACCTGTGGAGAGGAAGTAGTTTCTAGGTTATTTTCCACGTTGTTGAGCACTGCAACTAGGAAAAATGACTTCAGTCTTCCTTGAACCTTAATTTCCTCATCTAGCAAATGAGAATACTGGGCCTGATATTGTCTGGGACTGGGTTATCTGCTATGAGGAATAGACCCAATTCTTGAGAATAATGTTAGAAAAACACAATCAAAGGCCTTGATGTCACTATCAAGATTCATCGTGACAAAATCAATTTTTATCTGATTTAAGGTAAACTTCCTCATCATTTGTGAAGTAGAGCCGTTCTGTGTTTCTGTGATTACTTACATGGCCTTAGTGGGGACAGATAGCAGGAAAGGTTCATTTATTTTTAAAATTTTCAGTTATTTAAATTTAGTTTTATTCAAATATATAATTTTATTTAAATTTGTAAGTAAACAGTAATCATGGGATTTTGTCATCTTTATTTTTCAATTTTGTTTCTTTGATTTTCTTTCCCTAATCCCACACAAATTTTAACATGCCCTTCCTTTTCCAGTAACCTACAAAACAATCAGATGGGTTTTCTCTCCTATTTCCCCTCTACTTAGATAAGCCTATACACACATATATGCATAAACATATATATATATTTTTTTCTTTATTTTTGCGTGTTTGGATTTAAGCAACACCAACATTTTCTTCTATATATATTTTTTTACCCAATAATACTTTGTTAAGATCGCCTCTGGCAGTTTTCATTCCCTCTTTTAAGTAGCTACATAACATTCCGTGGTGAAACTACCATACATTACTCAGCAACTCCTTTGCTAACAGGCCAATAACTATAGCTAATCCAGTTTTTAGCTATTTCCAACAATTTTGTAGAAGGTTTCCAGGAAGAATTTGGACGAGCTGAGTTAAAGATTTTATTACATTTTAACAGTTTTAATAGATTGTTCTTCAAGAAGGCTGTAGCACATTACCTTCTACCAACAATAGATGAGAATTCCTTTTCCCCATATCCCTATCAAGAGTAGGTGTAACACCTTTTAGTTTTTATCAGTCTGATGTAAAATCATTCACTTTAACTTTATTTTTTATTTAGCTAAATTTTCATTAGTATAAAAATCTTTTCATGTATTTGGTCATTTTAAATTTTTGTTCATAAATTATCAATTTTTATGTATATTCCTTTCCTGTACAATTCTTCCTGAATTGTCTTTCTTCCTTAGGAACTTGTAAACGTTCTTGGTATATTAAGGAAACTGTCCTTCTATCTTACATCTGTGTTATATTTCCTCATCAGATATATGACATTGACCTCATGGTATCTTTTTGGATATATGCATTTTCAGTTTTAATTTTTCAAAGAATTTTCAGTGTTTTTAAGTTTTAGTTTCTGAGTTTTCAGTCTTGAATAGGAATGTTTCCCTGAACTCTGTATTATATAATAGACTTCTTGATTTTCTTTCATGATATTTATTATATATAGTGTTTTAAAATTTAAGCTTTTAATCCACGTAAAAACTTTAAGATAGGAGCCCATTTTTGTTTTCTTCTGGGTGGATGAATGACTAGCTGTGTCATATTCAATTATTCACATGTTCATGTTCCTTTTCTCACTAATTTTGAACTACTGAACTTGCCACATACTTAACACACAGTGATTTAATTTTGATTTCTATTTTCTGTTCAAATATTTATAATTCTTTATATAGAAAGGCAAGTTTCCCTTCAGAATTCTTCTCTTCCTTTTTATAGCTTTATTGTCTGTTCTCAGGCATTTCTTCTTTCGTGTTAATTTTTTTCCTAATTGAAATGAGCTGTATACTAATTTTGAAAGAAATAACATTTCTATTGTATCAACTCTTCCATAACAACATTTTATACCTTTTCTTACTTATTTATTCTTATAGTTCTTTTAATATTCTTTGGTTTTATTAAGATAAATCCCCTCCTTTTCTTTTGAAGTCTATTCCTATTTGTTTTGTTCTGATTGCAAGTGGCTTTTCCTCACATATTCATATATGGTTACTTTTTGCTAGAATAGAGAATAGCTATTGATTTTTATATATTTGTCCTGCATCCATCCATCTTACAAAGCTCTATTCTTAGAAGGATAAGGTTTTTGTATTTCTTTTAAACTAATATCTCACAAGTTTTCTAGCTATAAAATAATATAAATTTTATCTTATCTTTTGATGTGTATATAAATTAGTTTTCTCATTTTATTACATTTACTGATGCTGCCAAGTCAATTTTGAATAGTAATGATGATCATAGATTTCTTTCTAGTTCTTGGTTTATATTGAAATAATTTTTGTTGTATATGGTATTTGTGTTTGGTTTTTGATAAATGACTAACCAACATGATTGGTTAATATAAATTGTTTCTTTCTGATGGTATGTAGTCTTTTTTATTAGGAATATATGAAGGTTTTAAAGTACTTTTCCAGAATCCATAATAATAGACTATTTTTTCTGATTTTATTTTTTGATATAGTAAGTTATGTTAATAAATTTCCTGATATTAAAACACTATTTCTTCCCTGAAATAAATTCAGCTTCTTCAAATATATTGATTTTTGTATTACCAACTGTTTTATAGGGTATTTAAAATTTTAATTTTTATTCATAAGATTGATCTATCATTTTCTTTTTTATATTACCTTTTCAACTTTTGATAATGAACTTACGCTGATTTAAAAAGTGAATTAGAGAGCCTTCTATTTCTTCCTATTGTTTAGAGAAATTTAAGCATTCTGTTTTCACAAGGTTGGGTATTTAATGACTTTCCTAATCTTCTCTGGCTTTGATATATCTTTGTTCTTAAATTTTTAGTAATTCATATTTGTCCGATAATTCATTTTATCCAGGACCCCAAAACTTGCTGCCCCATTGTTACAAGTAGAATTTCTTTCCTCTGTATCTCTGATTAGAGCCTTAGTCTCATGTCTAGGCTTCTTTATTTTTGTTTCTTCATGTTCTGGAACACAAAAGACTTTACTAACATATTAGTCTCTCAAATAACTAGGTTTGGATATGTTTATTTTTTTCTATTTCTATTTCCAAAATTTCAGCTTTTACTTTCGTCCTTCTTTTGGAGTCAGCCTCTTCTTCCCTCGCTCCCTCCTCACATTACCTTAGTTAAGTTCTTAGTTCTAGTTTTATCATCTTTAATTATGAAGACATTTAAGGCAATACATTTTCTCCTAAGTATCATTTTCATTGTGTCCTTTAAATTGTGGTATCATGTATGTTCATTTAAATTGCTTTGTAGATAAATTATAACTTCCATTTTAATTTTAGCTAGAGCTATATGGGTTTAAGTTTATTGTTGTTGTTTTTGCTTGTTTCCTTAATTCTGAATCAGCTAAGTTTCTTTGGTCACTTATTTTTTTCCCCTAATTTTATTGCCTGCAAGAATATGGCCTATAAACATCTATTATAAACTGATGGTTTTTTGTGGTCAAATATTTGATTGTTTTTGTGTACATTGTTAGAACTTACCAAAAAATGTGTTCATCGAAAAGATTTAGTGTTAATTCTTATAGTTTTACTTTTGTTTATTTTTTTATCTACTAGAATTGACTAATCTAGAGAGAGTTTTGTTTCCCATTATAATTATATGCTCTGTCAAATTCTTCCTGTCTTTCCCAATAGTTTTTGGCTTATATGTTTAGCCTACATATTATTTTGTTCATACGGTTTATGATCATTTTGTCTTTTTTTTTCCAATTCAAATTGTGTGTCTTTATCTTGTTCATGTTTTTAATCTGTAGAATCAAGTTGTTTGCTGTTAATTTTGGCTCTTCTGCTGTCATATGGTTTGCACTGACCTGGTATCTCTTTGTCCATTTTTTATATCAAAACCAGAGCTTTTCAACTTGGGTACCACTAATGTTTCAGGCCAGATAATTCTTAATTTTGGAGGCCTGTCCTGTGCATTGTATGATAGTAAGCAGCAACCCTGGCCTGATCTCTATTCACTAGATGCTGGGGGCATTCCTCTAATACCTCACATCCATTTCCAGTTGGACAATCAAAAACATCTCCAGACATTACAACATGTCCTCTGCAGGGAAGATCCACCCCCACCTCCTGCCTTTGCTGGAGGTCTGCTGCTTTACAACTTTAGGATCCCAGGTGTTGCACCCTAGGCCTGACAGTTCTATACATAGGTTGTTCTGAATATTTGTTGGGGGCAACTTCATCTAAGTCAGGTGTACCTAGAGTGACCAACCATTTACTTTGTCCTAACTGAAAAGATTCCTGTGATATGGGACTTTTAAATTTTATTTTATTATTACTATTTTTTAGAGATGGAGTCTCACTCTGTCGCCAGGCTGGAGTGCAGTGGCACCATCTTGGCTCACTGCAACCTCCGCCTCCCAGGTTCAAGCAATTCTCCTGCCTCAGCCTGCTGAGTGGCTGGGACTACAGGTGCACACCACCATGCCCAGCTAATTTTTGTATTTTCAGTAGAGACACAGTTTCACCATGTTGGCCAGGATGGTCTTGATCTCTTGACCTCATGATCTGCCTGCCTCAGCCTCCCAAAGTGCTGGGGTTACAGGCGTGAGCCACCGTGCCCAATCTGTGATATGCAACTTTCAGTGCTAAAACCAGGAAACCCTTGGGAAACCTTAAATTCTGTTGTTATACAATATAGACTTGACCAAAGAGAACAGTACAGTAAGATCCACTCAGTCACCAAAGCAGTTCTCATTTTTCACTCTCAGTTTCCCCAAGTAACATGTCCTCATCTAAGTATGTTCTGAACTCAGAATTGTGAAATTATATTAAAAATCTTATATGTATCTGAGAATAATGCTAACATGCCCCTGGACAGCTATAAAGCCTATCCTATGCCCTCTTATATGTAATCACATCTATACATTTAACATATTTATTGTTTATTATTGTTTACTCTTTGTCTTGAAATCCCTTTCTGGATTATTTTTTGTTGCATTAGTCCTCTTCCCACCCCTCACGGTATTTTTCTTAGGCAGGATGCTTGGGTAAAATACTTTCTGAATTTCTGCTTATCTTTGTGTAACTTGATTTTACTCTCATAGGTGAATGGTAATTTAGCTAGGTGGAGAATTCTTGAGTTTCAGTTCTTTTCTCTCATGAGTCTTTTCTTACAAAGACTTCAAGTTTCTCAGGTTGCATATGAACAGAAAGATGCCAGTTTGATTCTTTTTGATTTGTGCTTATGTTTTCTTTATTGTCCTTGTTTTATTTTTTAAAAACAATAAGCACACATATTCTTCTATATCTATTATCTCTTTACTGCTACTACAAAGATCTTTTGATGGTGGAGAGACAGTGTATTGGGGAATGAACAGAACTGCCTTCCATCTTCTTTAGCCTAAGGTTAAATATTAATTTTTCTACAAATATTTTGTCTGGTTTTAGGGAATTCTCTATTTATTTAAAATATGCATTTGTCATTTTTTTCCGGGAGCTCTCAGACTTCTTTCTGTATTTTAGCTGTTTCAGTCTCTCCCCAGAGGAGGCATGCTTGAAGGGGTGGGAGGTTAGGGCCACTGGAGGTTTGTAATGTCTTCTTGTCATCCAGCTCCAACTCTGGTAGTTCTGAAGAACACAAGGAACTCTGCTTGTGGTCTCAAGTCTCTTCAGGGCTAGCATGCCATCTGGATGGTGTTTTCATGTAAATGTGACACCTGGAAGAACTATTCAGGAAATTCATTCTAGGTCTAGCATCTGAGCCTCTTTGGTGTATATTCACTAAATGCAGAAGGGATTTCTCCTCTCTGAGCTGAGCTCTTCTTCCTTTCCATCAAAGCATTTTTAAAAAGCATGTTTTACAATAACTGCATCTTCAGAAGAAACTAGAGAGTGGGAAAGAAATCAGGCAAAACCCTGGGAAACTCTGTGACCTCACTGCTAGAAATGGAAGGGAAACAAGTCAATTACATTTACTGAGTATCAGGAGCCATCAAGCATGTATGGAGGGGTTTTATTTGATGCTTTGGGATTCCTTATTTTTGGATGAGTGGCTTTGAAAGTGAATGTATCCCGTAAGTTCGCGTTCCTATGCTACCTTTGCCATGAAGCTTCTTAGTAGAAAATGGTTTCTCTCTGCTCTGAATCCTAAGAAAAGGTTAAATCACTCATGATACTCACACTGTCTTGGGTATTGAGTTATTTTTGTTCACATCTTCTTTTTTTTTGTTCTAGAAGGTCATTGTTACAGACAGGGGCTGTCTTATTCATGTTTGTATTCTCCATAGCCCTTAGCCCTGGCTCTGAAGCATAATAAGTGTTCAATACTGACAAAGAGATAGATGGGTGACTAAAAGAAAGAGACTTGAATCTGCCTGTTTGATTTTTATTTTTTCTTGGGATCAACTCTCCTTATCTATTTGTAAATGTTAGCTTTAGGTCTATGTTCCATTCCACTGCCATACTCCTTCAAGACATCTATAGTTTTTCTTCTACTAATTTAGTTTGGTCCTTATTTAAACCCAGATCAGAAAAATCCTGCATTAAATAATCCTCCAGGGTGTCAATAAACATCAGGTAGCTATAAAATACTTTCTAGCCATTAATTTGCTTTCTTTCTCCATTCTCCCTTGCTTATCCTTCCTGTCCCTGCCTCTTCTTAGCCAACCCATCTCGTCGACACTCACTCCGATATGCAAATACACACCCTGTTTGTTGTTTATGGACAGATACGAATACTGTATTCAATTTCTGTTGGAAATTTCCTTAGGTATTATTTCTGTTAACATTAAAGATATTCTTCCTCTGATCAGAAAAACATCTTAATAGAATATGAATTTTAACGTGGGCACAGAGACTAGGAGAGAATTGGGATTTTCTAAGATTCTACTATATCACAGGGCTTTGAATATACGTCTGTGTGATACAACAGAAAACATTGACTGGAGTATTAGTTTTTAGCCCCTTCTTATTTTCAAAGTATTTCCCCAATTCCTTCATTCTTATCTACATTTAAAAACACATAAAAAACATTTTTTGAGTTCTAATGATTTCCACCAAGAATATTCTCTTAGCTACAGGACTTAGTTTCTGATCTTATATTAGGTAGGATCTAGGTTGTTACAAGGGCTCTCCATCAACTCTCAGAAAAGTGCAACTGAATAGATGAAGAGTCAGGAGAATTATGAGTCTGTGTACAATAGGACTTCAATTACTGGATATGTTTATGTTTCCTGTTGGTTAGCACAACGTTTTTGGTGGCAGGAAAGGGAAACTGTTCAAATTAGCTAGATACAGAAAGGAACCTACTGAATTTTTCTGCACCTAATTACATTGTTGGAAGGACAAACATATGCCTTGATAAACAGTCAATCCTCTGTGTGACTGGATACGCAGCCTGGATACCACCTGCTCATCTTTCTTCTGTCTGTATGTTGGCTTTATTGACACACACTACCTTCTTCCACAGAGCTGGAAACATTGCCACCAGCAGCTTGGATGCCCTACATTTTCTACCCCTGCCTCCACAGAGAGATTGAAAGTCAATTTCTCCATCCAAATTCAAAAATGCTTCAGCAACATCATAGGTTGACCCATCTGGGGTGAGAAACTCAGTCAGCAGTCACTCCTCAACATTGTCAGCAAATCAGGGTGAATCAGGGTGATACCCACATGTTTGAGGCCCATAGTTAATAAAGGAAGAGACCATATCCAAGAAGATGGGAACTGTTCTTTTGGGAAAACCAAATATTAGATCTCTATTTTTCCTGTGAAGAAACAGTTTATAGGTAAGGAAGTTTATAAGATATAAAAATTACTCTTTGCTGATGGGTAAGAAGGTTTCCCAAGGGTGAGAATTCTAGGAGTGAATATCAAGGAACTTCAATTTTTTTCTACTGGTTGATTCAACTTTTTTTTTAACCTCTGAAATTACAATGCCAGGTGTAAAGTGGGTACTCTGTAAATACTTATAAAATTGACTTAAGTCCTTAGAATCTAAGGACTCTATAGTTCCACATATGATTGCACAAGGAGACTTCAATATTCCTAGAGTGTGATTTGTGATTTCTCATGTCTGTTAAGTCACTCCCTGTAAAGATTTATAACCAGAGAAAGAGGGAGGTAAGAATGAAGGGGATGTCAGGCTTGAATTCTGCAAAACTTAGATGAAAAGACCCCATGACTCGATCAGGCTGGGCCTGATCCTGCCGGTATAGGTAGCCAGGTGCTTCCACAAAGGTCTAGACAAGAGTCAAGTTTGATATCTTCCAGTTCTAAACTTCTGTTTCAAGATCTGAGAGAGCAAACTGGCATTTGCCACAGTGGTGATGCTTGGTGTCTATTGTTTGGAATGGAAGTGGGAATGTGTTCATGTAAGGTTAGAGTATCCTAGTTTGTCACAGTCCATGGAAACCATGTCATGGAAGCTGGCATTAGAGAAAGATCCATGGACTCTTTTGTAGAAAGAAGAAAATTCTTCATTAAATACTAGTTTACTATGACCTCAAAGCTTGCAAGTATCCGTTCACTTAAAATATCTTTATAGCACTGAATTAATCATTGTGGGGAAATTCAGAATCTATCCCACTGTTCTTTATCATCATCTCTTGGCATCAGAAAGACTTTATATTTATCTAGTTCAATGGGCCTCAAACTCTAATGTGCATCAGAGTCATCTGAGGAGTCAATTAAAGATGCAGGTTTCTGGGGCCATCCAGACATTCTGGTGCGGGATGGTGGAATGTTTTGATAAACAAGCTGTGTAATCTGATACAGACAGCCTGCAACTACACTGTAAGAAATACAAGTCGAGCTCCATTATCCTCCCAAAGGGTTGCCTTTTCTCCCAGTGGACATGTACTGTCATAAGCTGAGTGACCACATAGCAGAATGTTTATGGAGAGGATTCAAAGATAAGAAGTAAAGCTAACTAGAACATTTTGATCTTTTCTACAACATGAATGACTAGCGATTATCTAGCCTTTCTTGGAGTATTTCAGATGAAATGATGTTTGCTACATTACAAAATAATATACTATAAGGTAACTCTAGTTATTCATTATTTACTAAACAGATTTCTCCATCCAAATGCACACTGACCCTCATTCAACTCTCTCTATGTCATCAGAGCAAATTGACGGCTCTGTCTGTAATGCGGCTTTTCAGATACTGAAAGACATCCATCACATTCCACTAAGCGATTTCCCCACCCTCCACCGAGATGATTTTCACTAAGTATTTTAGTCATTCCTCATAGAACGTGGTTTCCAGATTTGGACCCCTAGGTTCATCCTCTAGATTTTTTCTAATTGCTAAGATATGCATTTACCTAAACAGAATTGTATTAGTAAATTTTTGCATCACTACCAAGAAATACCCGCGGCTGGGTAATTTATAAAGAAAAGGGGTTTAATTGGGATACAGTTCTATAGGCTGTATAGGAAATGTGGTGCCAGCTTCTGCTCCTGGTGAGGCTGCAGGAAGCTTACAGTCATGATAGAAGGCAAAGGGGGTTCAGGAACCTCATATGGTGAGAAAGGGAGCAAAAGAGGGATGGGGGAGGTCCCAGTCTTTTAAACAACCAGATCTCATGTGAAGTAATAAGAATGAACTCATTACCAAGGGGATGGTGCAAACCATTCAATAGAGATCCTTCCCTAAGATCCAATCACCTAACACCTGGCCCCACCTCTGACATTGGGAGTCACATTTCACATGAGATTTGGAGGGGACAAACATCCAAACCATGTCAAGAATAACCTAGATATAGTCTGACTCCTGGGGGAACTGAGGAGGTGGGTTTTGTGGGGTGGAGTGTATGTATGGGCAAGGGGATTCGGACAGATAATGGACATTGCCCCTCTAAAGCTGGGAATGGTGAGGCTATACTTCTACTGACTCCATATAAAAGGGTATTTGCCTTAAGGAGAAAAAGTCATAGTTTGGTTCATATAAAGTCAGGGGTGAACAAAAATTTCTAGGTCACTTTTACTAGGAATTGCCATCAAGGTTTTCTCTCCATTCGACTTGTGTATTTGTTTTTCTGAACAAAATAAAGTAAGACGAATGAAAGAATGGCCATATTGTGACCAGTAGGTATCTTTTAAACTATTCCTTTCTTCCTTGGCAATAATGTTTTTAGTGTGACCCAGTAACAGGCTAATCTCTCTAGTCTAGTATTTTGAAATTTATTGCTCATATGGGGATTTTCCTATGTGCCTCCAACTTGTGATATACAACTCCTTTAAAATTAATTTTTTTGAAAATGTTTCTTAATTTTCCAATTTTTTTTGAACCTTGAAAACCTGGGAAAACATTTAGATTATTCTTCCTCCAACCCCCGTCTTTTTGTGGCAAACTGCCACAGGAGTTTTATATATACTTTATGATAGCTTAAAAAAAATCTTGTATTTTTTTCCTCATCACTAAGTTTCAGTGACCTTGCTACGTATCTGGTGTCTGGTGTAAATGCCATTTCATTAATGTTATTGTTATTCCAAATGGTGGTGAGTGACTTGCAATTAAATAGTAATTTAGGGAAAGATGAGAATATGATATAAATATTAATTACTATGTATCTTTTGTTTTCCCTGCTCAACCTGTTTTTTTCAAATGGTTCTATGATTATTTAAAATTAGTAAGTCTATGTAACACACTTGGATATCATACCACATTCCCCTATTTGTGCCTATAAATAAATTATATATGTAGTTTATATAGACAATATATAAAATGTCAATCTGTCATGTGCATGTATGTGTGCGTGTATATAAATTTGATTTATGTCAATATAATCTGCTTTAGTTTAGAGGAAGAATGTAGTAGAGGGTATTGAGGTCATTGTTAATTTCAGTTGTGCTGCGAACTAGGAAATTCACTCTAAACATATAAAGGAAGTTGTGTAACAGATTTAGGCTCCTCTAAAATGAGGGTTCCTCTAAGATATGAGAGAATGAGAAAGCAAACAAGAGAGACTATGTCTTTTCCTCAAACTCCCTGTCCAGGTCTCTAAATTTCTATCTGAGGGACTCACCCCCAAAACCCCATTTAGAATGCCTTATACCTTAAATGTATATTTTCCCATTCTAAGAAACCAAACATGACAGTATCAAGAATTCATTTTTGGTTTGAGGTTAGTATCCTTCTGACTATTCTGGCAGGTAGAAAGCATGTTGACAACAAAAATGCCTTTCTGAATTTTTCACAGCACTATTCTGAACTTTTTGTAATCAGAAAAGGAGAAAAATAATTTCTCATTTCTATTAAATATTCAGTGGGCAAATACTAATATGAAAGAAAATTGAAATTCTATGGCACACTCAATAAGTAGCAGTTTAGATTATATTAGAAATATTGTTAATTCTCTTTGGGTCGATTAACAGAGTCAAAAATGGAAATCTAAAATGAAGCTAGAACATTGTATTAAGTGTTACAATGTATGCCTCTTTCCCTAACCTGTGAGGGACAGTGACGGAACTGAAGCCTTTGGAGGACCTCAGGGTGAATCTGGCCTCCCACATGTAGAGCTGAGTGGCTATAACTGACAACACTCTCTGTGAGTCAGTTGTTTCATCAGAATCCCTCAGGTCTCTGGACCCTCAGGTCTAACTTGAACAGGCTCTAGATTAGCAAATCCATTCCTTTGCCCATGTCTGTGGTTGTCTTATTCTACAAAGACAGAGTAGAGTAGTTTCAACAGAGAGTGAACATACCATAGATCCCAAAATATTACTCTCTGGCTCTTTAAGAAAACATCTGCTGATTTCTAAGCAAATCTAAATGAAAAATGTCTGAGATAAAATGACAATGACCATTATGTCTACCGGAGCAATTTGTCACAGATAACTTAGTTTTACTTTAGCAGGATTCTTGCTGTTTAAATCCAAAAAAGTAACTTCAGCCAAAGAACACAAATAATGGAAGAAATATATGGGGAGCAGTGTTATTCATGGTACCTGCAATTGCTGACAGGTAGTTGCCTACTTCCTTAATAAAGTTTTGTGATGATGCACCCCAGGCTAGCACATCAGCGTCTCCTGGGAACGAGTTAAAGATGCAAGTTATCAGGCCCCATCCCAGACCTACTGAATCAGAGACTCTGGGTGAGGCCAGCAATCTGTACTCTAACAGGACCTCCAGGTGCTTCTGAAGGCTGCAAACATTTGAGAACCAGGGTTATACTTAAAAGGGTTTTGCAGACTCTGTGGGGTTAGAAAAATATAAGGTTGCACATTCTGTTACATGCTGAATCAGCCTTGATGATATAGGAAAGAAGAAGGAAATTATTGGCTAGAATTTGTATTCCCATTGGTATCCAAGTAGCTAAATGCAAAGGAATGTCAAACATGCTACTAGGTTTCTGGGCTCTAGATTGCATCTAGAGAAGGGGGAAAAAGACAATGTTAACCTCTGGGGAAGTGGCTCCAGCAAAGAAGATTCCTGTCTATATGCTGTCTTCAGTAATCTTTCAGACATTCTACTTGAGATTAATAGTGACAGAACTGCCAATGGCCTTTGAACAGTAGGTTGAACTATAGATATGATGAGGCTGATAATTTCCATTTTATAAAGAAATGAAAAGAAAAGATCAACAAAATTGATAGACCGCTAGCAAGACTAATAAAGAAGAAAAGAGAGAAGAATCAAATAGACGCAATAGAAAATGACAAAGGGGATATCACCACTGATCCCACAGAAATACAAACTACCATCAGAGAATACTACAAACACTTCTATGCAAATAAACTAGAAAATCTAGAAGAAATGGATAAATTCCTCAACACATACACCCTCCCAAGTCTAAACTAGGAAGAAGCTGAATCTCTGAATAGATCAATAACAGGCTCTGAAATTGAGGCAATAATTAATAGCTTACCAACCAAAAAAAGTCCAGGACCAGATGGATTAACAGTCGAATTCTACCAGAGGTACAAGGAGGAGCTGGTATCATTCCTTCTGAAACTACTCCAATCAATAGAAAAAGAGGGAATCCTCCCTAACTCATTTTATGAGGCCAGCATCATCCTGATACCAAAGCCTGGCAGAGACACAACAAAAAAAGAGAATTTTAGACCAATATCCTTGATGAACATTGATGCAAAAGTCCTCAATAAAATACTGGCAAACCGAATCCAGCAGCACATCAAAAAGCTTATCCACCATGATCAAGTGGGCTTCATCCCTGGAATGCAAGGCTGGTTCAACATACGCAAATCAATAAATGTAATCCAGCATATAAACAGAACCAAAGACAAAAACCATATGATTATCTCAATAGATGCAGAAAAGGCCTTTGACAAAATTCAACAACCCTTCATGCTAAAAACTCTCAATAAATTAGGTATTGATGAGATGTATCTCAAAATAATAAGAGCTACCTATGACAAACCCACAGCCAATATCATACTGAACGGACAAAAATTGGAAGCATTCCCTTTGAAAACTGGCACGAGACAGGGATGCCCTCTCTCACCACTCCTGTTCAACATAGTGTCGGAAGTTCTGGCCAGGGCAATCAGGCAGGAGAAGGAAATAAAGGGCATTCAATTAGGAAAAGAGGAAGTCAAATTGTCCCTGTTTGCAGATGACATGATTGTATATCTAGAAAACCCCATTGTCTCAGCCCAAAATCTCCTTAAGCTGATAAGCAACTTCAGCAAAGTCTCAGGATACAAAATCAATGTGCAAAAATCACAAGCATTCTTATACACCAATAACAGACAGAGAGACAAATCATGAGTGAACTCCCATTCACAATTGCTTCAAAGAGAATAAAATACCTAGGAATCCAACTTGCAAGGGATGTGAAGGACCCCTTCAAGGAGAACTACAAACCACTGCTCAACGAAATAAAAGAGGACACAAACAAATGGAAGAATATTCCATGCTCATGGGTAGGAAGAATCAATATCGTGAAAATGGCCATACTGCCCAAGGTAATTTATAGATTCAATGCCATCCCCATCAAGCTACCAATGACTTTCTTCACAGAATTCGAAAAAACTACTTTAAAGTTCATATGGAACCAAAAAAGAGCCCACATTGCCAAGTCAATCCTAAGCCAAAAGAACAAAGCTGGAGGCATCACTCTACCTGACTTCAAACTATACTACAAGGCTACAGTAACCAAAACAGCATGGCACTGGTACCAAAACAGAGATATAGACCAATGGAACAGAACAGAGCCCTCAGAAATAATGCCGCATATCTACAACTATCTGATCTTTGACAAACCTGACAAAAACAAGCAATGGGGAAAGGATTCCCTATTTAATAAATGGTGCTGGGAAAACTGGCTAGCCATATGTAGAAAGCTGAAACTGGATCCCTTCCTTACACCTTATACAAAAATTAATTCAAGATGGATTAAAGACTTACATGTTAGACCTA